>NT_187672.1:0-123111 GCF_000001405.40 Homo sapiens
GAATTCCCCATGAGTCCTGTGACCTCAGCCCACACGGGGACCTACAGGTGCTACGGCTCACTCAGCTCCGACCCCTACCTGCTGTCTCACCCCAGTGGCCCCGTGGAGCTCGTGGTCTCAGGTGAGGGCGCTGACCCTGTCCTCTCTGAGCTCAAAGGCTCAGCTCAGGCCCTGCCCCCAGCAGAGCTCTGGACACTAAGGAAAGAGGGGAGTGAAGGGAGAGGGTCCGCAGGGGAGGGTCCAGCCCATGGGAAGATGGAAATAGACAGGGACCTCCCACCCCTGGCTCCCACCCCTGAAGTCTCAGTAGAGTAAAGTGCAGGGAGGGCTGGGAGGAGACGGGGGGTGAACCTCAAAGGAGTTGAGATTAGACTGAGGGTGGAAGACGGAGGCCCCACCTGCTCCCATCCTGGTGTCTCCACCTCAGAATCAGAGCCTCTGTGTCCCAGTCCCCAACAGACGCCCTCCTGGAGAGAGAAGCATCCAGGCTGCCGGTGCCACCTGCATCCACCCCCGACCCCCCCCCACCCCGCCCCACTTCCTGCTTTCCCCTGCAGCCTCCCCAGCACTCAGCGCACACCTGAGCCTCACAGGGACTTGCACGTGCTCCCGCAGCAGCTCAGGGAATGTGCACCGCTCCTCTTCTGCGCCGTTGACATTTTTTATTTGGGTTTTTAAAATCTCATATTGGCCTTTTTGTCCAAGCTGGTGAAAGTAGATTTGCAGCATCACCTATTTTTATTCTCACCCGGTTTCGTAATAGCCCTGATCTCACGTGCTCCCTGAGGTTTTGTAAACTTCAGGTAGAAATGTGGACTTCCTTCGTTCTGGACATTTGCTATGGAGGGGGTAGGGCTTATCTTTTCAGAAAAAGTCAAATGACTGGTACCACTCCTTGAAACCCTACAGCACTTTCCAGACCTCAGAGGGAGGGAGAGAGAGGCAGAGACAGAGACAGAGAGACAGAGAGAGAGATATTGGGGCCGCTCTTTCCTGGCCGGTTCATCCTGGCCTATTCTCAATCCACCAAGGCCCCGAAGCTCATCTCCCCTCCTCCTCTGCCTCCTCCTCCACCCTGTAGACAAGCGGCCATTCCTTTCTGAAGAACAGGCTGAGACCTTTCTGGGACCTGCTCTTTCTGGAGCCTCTGTTGCTCCCTGTCTGGGTCTCCACACGCCTCCTTCCTGGCCCTTTTTCCTATTGAGGAATCAGCTTCAATGTCACCTCCAAGTGTGACCTTCACTGACGACACAGCTCAGCCCAGTCCTGCCTGCTTCTCATTTATGTCAAGTAATTAACCAACCTACACCATGCGGCTGAATTCCTTCTCTCTCTCTTCCACTCTCTGCATATACGTGTGTGTGTGTGTGTGCGCGTGTGTGGTCACACCAACATCTTACGTGACATTGAAACCTAGTTATCCGTATATCTATACAAATAATATATATTCACACATAAATATAGGTCTCTACCAATATATCTAAAACCATTGCTACGACTAGTAAATTTCCACTGCTGTGTTTCTATATGTTTGCTGTTTGTCTCCAGGTGAACCCACACTTCAAGAAGGCAGAGATAGTTTTTAAGGCCCACTATATATATAAAACAGATATATATTTGTGTTTGTGTTTTTCTGTGTGTGTATCACATTCTACCTGTTGCTGCCTATACGAATAATTAGCTACCTAGAGATTAAATGGACAATGAAACTCCAGGTGAAGTGGCTGAGGGCATGAAGGGGAGGCAGCCCCAGAATTTCACCCCTTTGTGCTTCTGACATTGAGGCTCCCCTGATGACTAACCCTCATCCACGGAGCCTGGGTCCTCAGCTGGTGGATCCGTGAAACTCTCATCTCCGGGGGAGTTGGCTCATGTTCTCCTGTGTCCCAGGCTGCACAGAGAGCACACAGGCCTTAGTGACCTCTGTACTGGGGACCACTTTCCTTGCAGATCCTGAGCTCTCAGGATGCAGGAAAACTCTCTCCCAGATGACTCAGGAGCAATGTTTAAATCCATAGAACACAGGAAAACTGAAATCGTTCAATGAGGAGACTAGAGGGAATCCTGCTAGCGGAGGAAGAGGTTTTTTTTTTTTTTTTTTAGAAATTCTGTAAAAGTCACATCATGAGACATTAAGTAATAAAAAAAAAATTGCAGAGCCCAGGTGAGAGGCTGGGCTCAGGTCTCTTTTTCTCTGTTTTGATTCTCTGGAGCAGCTGATACCCTCAGCCCATCACAAAACAAGTCTGACTCTGAGACTGGTATGTGAGGAGATACTCTCAGTGATGGGGCTGGCACTGAGGGTTGGGTCCTGTGAAGGGGAGGTGGGTGCCCTGGGTGGACAATCTGATCCACCCTGACCTCTGTGACCTCTTTGTCCACCATCCCCAGCCTCACACCTTCAGGATTACGCAGTGGAGAATCTCATCCACATGGGCGTGGCTGGCTTGATCCTGGTGGTCCTCGGGATTCTGTCATTTGAGGCTTGGCACAGCCAGAGAAGCTTCCCAAGATGCAGCCGGGAGGTGAACAGCAGAGAGGATAATGTACTTTATAGAGTCGTGAAGCCTCAGGAACAGATCTGATGATCCCAGGAGGTTCTGGAAGAAAATCTAGGGCCGATGCTATCTGGACTGTCTGCTGGTCATTTCCAGAGGAAGGAATCAATGTCCGAGTGCAGGGACATTTTCTGGGGTGATCCATGGAGAACCATTAAAATGTGATACCTTTCCTCTCCATTAATGTTGACTTTCCTTGGTTGGATCTGCCTCTTTTCCCACACTTAGACATGAGGCTCCATCCCACATGGCAGCGTTGGGTCCACACCTCTGCACACCTGCATGCTCTGGTCCATGGCGTGTCACACAGTCCTCTTCATTTCTCATTGCCACACTTCCTGGTGTACTTTACTGGGTCTTCATGTCTTCAGTTCAGAGTTCCGCACCTGGTTTAGGAACTAATTCAACGGGAGAAGATCAGAGTCCGACCAGGAAAAGATAAATGCACCGTGATGCCCTCACCTCCTGTGTGGACCCTATGAGCTCTTCCCTCCTTATCAGATGCTATCTGTGTAGTTTCTCCTGAAATATCACCACCTGGAATCAACACACTGGCATTTGAAGTCACGACCCAATGGTATGCTAATTCTGAAAAAGACATTTTTTGAAATGCTATGATTAGTGGCATTTACCAATTTCCTTGACGTAAATTCTTTTTTCATGGCCATAATCAAGATGCCAACGAGACATCCCTGAATGCAGGGTTGGGAAGCGTTGGACAGACTTGTCTTCACTCATAAGCACCAGGCATCTGATAGCTCACGTATACATCTTATTACCTTCCATTTTAGAGTGAATAATCATTTCTACTTCAGTATTTTGGCACAGGTAAAAGCAGTCCCATTACTGCGCGTATACCCAAAGGAATATAAATCATTCTATTGCAAAGATACATGCACACATGTGTTCATCGCAGCACTATTCACAATAGCAAAGACATAGAATCAACCCAAATGCCCATCAATGATAGACTGGATAAAGAAAATGTGAGACATATACACCACGGAATACTATGAAGCCATAAAAAGAAACAAGATCATGTCCTTTGCAGGGACATGGATGGAGCTGGAAACCATTATCCTCAGGAAACTAACACAGGAACAGGAAATCAAACGCTGCATGTTCTCACTTACAAGTGGGTGCTGAACAATGAGAATGCGTGAACACAGGGAGGGGAACAACACACACTGGGGCCTGTCGGGGGGGGGGTGGGGTAGGGGTAGGGAGAGCATTAGGAAAAATAGCTAATGTATGCTGGGCTTAATACCTAGGTGATGGGTTGACAGGTGCAGGAAACCACCATGGCGCACATTGACCTATGCAATAAGCCCACACATTCTGCACATGTACCCCGGAACTTAAAATAAAAATAAAAATTAAAATTAAATTATGACACCATGATCCTAGCATATCCAAAAAAGACAAAAATGCCAATATCAAATGTCGGAGAAAATAGGGCTGAATTAAAAATCCAATACAACGCCGGGCGCAGTGGCTCACGCCTGTAATCCCAGCACTTTGGGAGGCCAAGGTGGGTGGATCACTTGAAGTCAGGAGTTTGAGACCAGCCTGGCCAAACGTGGTGAAACCCTGCCTCTACTAAAAATACAAAAATTAGCCGGGTGTGGTGGCACTCGCCTGTAGTCCTAGCTACTAGGGAGGCTGAGGCAGGAGAATCACTTGAACCCGGGAGGCGGAGGTTGCAATGAGCTGAGATCATGCCACTGAACTCCAGCCTGGGTGACAGAGCGAGACTCCGTCTCAAAAAAAAAAACAAAAAAAAAAAACCCTCAAAAGCTCAGGCAGCAAAAGCAAAAATAGGCAAATGAGATCATAGCAAACTGCAAACCTTCTGCACAATCAAGGAAACAAACAGCAGAGTGAAGAGACCACCTACAGAATGGGAAAGAATATTTGCAAGCAAGAGATTAATCTCCAGAAAATACAAGGAGCTCAAACAATGCAGAGGTTTTGAAGGATGGTGATGAGAAGGTTCTGCTACTTACAGAAAGGAAGTTTAGGAGAAACAAAACCACAAACCTAGGTGGTGGGATGGCTTGATCTGCTTCTGTCTGTGACTCACTTAACAGTCTTAAACACATCTCCCTAAGCCTCCTTCCCCCGGTGGGATTCCTGGGTCTTGTGAGGACCTCATCGGTCCCTCTGGTAAACCCAGGCACAGAGTGGAGCAGCTCTTGTTTTCTCAGGATCTTCCCCTTCACATACAATTAACGCACCCACACGATGCTACTCTTAGAACCCTTCAAATAAATGTTTCCCGGTTCATTCACTACCAGAATCCAAGCTCAGCTTGTTCCCCAGCTTAGGACTGAGTGGTATCTTGGAGGTAGTTTCCACCATAGCCCCCTTCCTCTGCTATAAGGCTCAGTGACACACCAGAGACACCCCCTCCAGCCAGGCTCCTGGAAGGTCTGGATGAAGACTGGGATGCTGAGGCATTGCTCAGCAATGTGGCTTAACTCAAACTTCTATGTGAAACTTCCAACCACTTTCAGCAAGGGGTCACTTCCAGCGTCTTGGGGTGTGAGGGCACTTTGGTTGGTCCCTGCAATATCAGACCCTATAAAGATCCTACAAACATGTTGCAGACTCTTTGAAGATTCTGGCACTTTCAGACATGCTGTTGGGAAATGGTGACACCCATAACCTTCTAGTTCCAGGACAGGGAGCCTTAGCCCAGGGCTATGTTTTCTGAGGGTCCTCAAAGTAAACAGTTCTATGTGCCAGGAGAACCCTAAATCTCATATGGTTCTAAGGGCAGAAAGCCACACACGCACCGGCAAAAAGCAAGAGATTCAAGGAAAAGCTGAGCAAAGACAGACAGGAAAACACACACATGATGAGCCAGCTTGTAGAGCTAGAACTGAGATGGAGAGAGGCACGAGTGGGTAACAGAGTGTGCTCCCCAGAACAGGTGGAGAGAATGCCTTTTTCATGCCCTGAGGATAGGCTGGGTAAGGCTTGTGCTCGACAGTCAAGGACTATTTTTTTCCCCAGGCGTCTACAAGAGACCTTCCTTCTCAGCTCAACTGTGCCCTGCAGTAAGTAATGATGGAGAGAATGTGACTTTGCTCTGCAGCTCTGGAAGCTCATTTGACCTGTGCCTTCTAACGAGGAAGGTAAGGCCCCTGGACACTGGCTCACTGGGGTGCAGAGACAGAGTGGGGCATTCAGGCCAACTTCTCTCTGGGTCTTGGGGCTGGTGATGGGACCTCTAGATGCTGCAGCTCTCTGTCGATGGCTCTGCCTGTGAGTGATCAGCCCTAGATGACCACTGTTACTGGGGGTAGCCCATGCCTGCTGCATGCCCTGTGAAACACTAAATCATATAGCCACGTCTGAGGGACAGCCTGCTGGAGACATGGGAATCTTAGGGATTCCAGACAAAATGAAGCAATGAGAAACACAAAGAGGAAAAGAGAGGTTGAGTATGACAGTGGTGTCAGGGTGTAGGGTGGTAGACAGGGCAGCTCCACACTCTCCACTGCTTCCTGTCTGGAGGCCCACTTTGGGGTCCTACTTATCCAGGTGAGTGAAGGAAGAGGTCAGGACAAACACAGGAGGTGAAGCCAGATACAGTGTGGGGAGATAAGCAGTGGCCTCAGCCTCTAGCCCTTTTCCATCTTCCAGAAGCCCCTCCTGAGCTCTCATCACAGACAGATTTCCCATTTGGAAACCCAGATATTTATCATGCCGGGGGGGGGAGGCAATGTCTCTTGATTATGGGGACTTTCCATCACCAGGCACCTGCTAGTCCTCTCTATACCTTCCCTTCAGGAAAGGAATTGTCCCTCATGGGATTCCAGGGAAGAGACCCCAGGACCCCTATCAGTCACTAGGGAGATGACAGAGTAGAGGAAGTCAGGGGACCAACCCTCCACAGAGAATGGTCCTACTTCAGTGGGGTGAGGGAAACTCTCACTCATCCATTTGCTGTCCTGTTACCTCGGAACCCTAAGAGAACTTGTTAGTCACACACAGAATCTACCCCTGAATGTGGTGTGCAAAGTGGGGCTCTTAGCCTCCAGTGTGAAGTCCCTGGGAAGATGGAATGTCCCTGTGTGAGTGAAGGCTGTGCCACCGCCCAGCTATGTGGCCTTGGGCTAGGCAACCCCTCCCAGGTCCCCAGTTCCCCATCTGCATCGGAGACTGTGGCCAGTGCGGGAATCCACAAGGCCCTTCAGCCTCCAAAGCTCTGGGACAGAGGCCTCGTCCACAGGGAGGAAGGGGTCAGAGTGACCTGAGTCCCTACTCAGGAGCGAGTCTAATCCACTCTCCATCGGGGCCTGTGGGGAAGGGAAGATGAAGAAACGGAGCCTGCACCTGGCTATGTGGGCGCAGTAGATTAAGGGGAGGATGAGGGTTCCTGAGAGTGTGTCATGTGGCAGAGACCCTGCAGCACACTCAGGAAGGGCTCTGGAAGGATCCAAGGAAATTTTCCAAGAAGAGGGCAGAGTAAGTGACAGAGACCCTCAACCATGGATTTCACTGAGGTGCCCATGATGACATAGGGAGAACGGGGGTGTCTGGGCAGGAAGAATATCGTCAGGGTGAAATGAATGGTGATGAGCTTCGTGTCAGAGCTCCTGTGGAGGGAGGGGCCTGGCCCACATGAAAAGGTCTCTGATCCTACCCCAGCCCCCAGCCCCTGTTCTCCAGGATGACACTGTGGGAATTCCATCAGGAGGGGTGTGATAGGGCTGGTCTTCCTGGCTCGATTCACAACACTGGCTGGGGACTGGGAACCCATGGGGAGCCACAGGTGGAAAGGGAGGAGCCTCAGTGAACCCAGCAGGAACAAACATAGGGTCTGACATGATGGAACTCACTTCCTGGAGGCCAAGAAAGACACTTGCGGGACAAAAGGGAAAGAGCGGTGGCTTGCTTAGTTCCATTCACTGACAACCCACAGGAGATGTCCAGTCCTTTTTTGATTTATTATTTTATTTTATTATATTTTATTTTATTTTATTTTATTTTCACATGGAGTTTTGCTCCTATTGGCCAGGCTGGAGTGCAATGGCACGATCTTGACTCACTGCAACCTCCACCTCTCAGGTTCAAGCGATTCTCCTGCCTCAGCCTCCTGCATAGCTGGGATTACAGGCGACTGCCACCACAGCCAGGTAATGTTTGTATTTTTAGTAGAGATGAGGTTTTGCCATCTTGGCCAGGCTGGTCTCAAACTCCTGATCTCATGTGATCCGCCTGTATCAGACTGCCAAAGTGTTGGGATTACAGGCGTGAGCCACCACACCCAGCCTTTTGTATTTTTAGTAGAGATGGGGTTTCACCATGTTGGTCAGGCTGGTCTTAAACTCCTGACCTCAGGTGATCCATCCACCTCGGCCACCCAAAGTGCTGGGAGTACAGATGTTAGCCACCGTACCCAGCGAGAGTTTCAGTGCTCTATCGGATTCCCTGCCTACTCCATGTTGCATGTAATGTTCCACCTCAGGGATGTTTCTCTCCTTTCTGTCTCCTTCCTCTTCTCCTTCTCCTTTTTTCTTTCTAATTTTTATTTTTTTGAGACAGAGCCTTGCTCTGTTACCCAGGCTAGAGTACAGTGGCACGATCCCAGCTCACTGCAACCTCTGCCTCCTGGGTTCAAGAGATTCTCCTGACTCAGCCTCTCAAGTAGCTGGGATTACAGGCACCCGCCATCACACCCAGCTAGTTTTTGTATTTTTAGTAGAGACGAGGTTTCACCATGTTGGCCAGACTGGTCTTGAACTCCTGCCCTCAGGTAATCCACCCGCCTGTGGCCCCCCAAAGTGCTGGGATTACAGGCGTGAGTCACCACTCCCAGCCCTGAATGATCTTTCCTCTTTAGTGTGTTCTCACAACCACCTCTCACTGAGCTTTCTTGTTTTTTGTTTTTGTTTTTGTTTTTGTTTTTGTTTTTGGCAGAGTCTGGCTTTGTTGCCTATGCTGGAGTGCAGTGGTGCAATCTCAGCTCACTGCAACCTCCGTCTCCTGGGTTCAAGCGATTCTCCCACCTCAGCCTCCTGAGTAGCTGGGATTACAGGCACCCACCACCACACCCAGCTAATTTTTGCATTTTTAGTAGACACAGGGTTTCACCATGTTGGTCAGGCTGGTCTCGAACTCCTGACCTTGTGATCTGCCAGCCTCAGCCTCCCAAAGTGCTGGAATTACAGGCATGAGCCACCACTCCCAGCCCTGGATTATCTTTCCTCTTTAGTGTGTTCTCACAACTACCTCTCACTGCTGGGTTTTCTCTCTTTCTTTTTTTTTTTTTTTTTTTTTTTTTTTGAGACAGTCCGGCTTTGTTGCCCAGGCTGGAGTGCAGTGGCGCGATCTCGGCTCACTGCAAGCTCCACCTCCCAGGTTCAAGCGATTCTCCCACCTCAGCCTCCCTAGTAGCTGGGATTACAGGCGCATGCCAGCACACCCAGCTAGTTTTTGTATTTTTAGTAGAGACAGGGGTTTCACCATGTTGGTCAGGCTGGTCTTGAACTCCTGACCTTGTGATCTTCCTGCCTCGGCCTCCCAAAGTGCTGGGATTACAGGTGTAAGCCACTGCACCCAGCCAGCTTTCTCATTCTTATCCCTTAGTTCTCTGCCAGGGAATAAGATAGAAACCATTCCCTCAACCACATTCTAGTCATGGTCCCTATTCTCATGTTTCCACTTCTCTCTCTTTGGTAATAAATCAATTAATTGAGAAACAAGTAGCTAAATGTTCATCTTCTGCTAGTCTGCATCCCCTTATTTTCCCAGAGCCTCCCCTAATGAAACTGACTTTATTTACTGAACGCAGGAAATGGGTCTCTCCAGATCAGGATGACTTTCTGCTGGGAAATATTTGTCTTTGCATCAGTGGGGAAAAAGAAAGCCGATGTCATGAGTGGAGGCTCTGAGAAAATAAGGGCTGTGTTTTCAGTTTAGACCCAGCTAAGTTGGGAGCTGACATAGATATGATGTTGGGTCCACCCTCCACGGGCAGGTTTTCAGACAAAGGATCCCTGGCAATCAGGGGACACCTCAGGTCTGGGCTGAGATGTGTGCAGAGGGCCTGGGTCCTCCTGAGCCCCTGCACTGGGGGGGGAATAAGAGACAGGCCCAGCAAGGGGCTGTCCACTTCCTGTGGGTTCACAGCTGTGGGGACCCAGGCAGGCGGCAGCAGGCTCTGACTTAACCACATCCGTGCATCTGTCTGTCATGGAGGGCCATGTGGTCACCTGTCCCACAGCTGGAGCACGCAGAGCAGGCATCATGGTGTCCATCCTCACTGTTCTTCTGTGCCTCAGTCAGTGGTGGAGAGACGAGGGACAGGAGGGGCACTGGGCTGAGGTGGGGAGGGTCCCACAGCAGCCTTGTTCACCAGAGAGCCTCAGGGCTCCAGTGGCTACTGGTGCTCCAACAGGAAGGGAAGCAGCCACACCTCTGTGTTCCAAATCCCCCACAGGAAACTCTTCTCCATGGCTGAGTCTGGGCCAGAAAGCCCAAGCACTTGCAGGTGAGTCTCTGCTAACCTCCCATGCCTGACCTCACACTCAGCACCTGGACTCTCATCTCAGGGGCTTCTGAACTGAGGGTGAGAAAATCAAGAGGGTCTGTGACCTGAGCTGGGAATGAGGAGCGGGGGAGGTCTGTGGACCCCAGCCTGTGGTTTCTTCCAGGGACCCTCCCCAAACCCAGCCTCTGGGCTGAGCCAGGCTCTGTGATTACCTGGGAGAGCCCCATGACCCTCTGGTGCCAGGGGACCCTGGATACCCAGGGTTACTATCTCACCAAGGAAGGAAACCCCATGACCTGGTACCAACAGAGCCCACCAGAGCCCAGGAACAAGACCAACTTCTTCATCCCATCCATGAGAGAGCACCATGCAGGGAGATACCACTGTCACTATCTCAGCCCTGCAGGCTGGTCAGAGCGCAGCGAGCCCCTGGAGCTGGTGGTGACAGGTAAGAGGACACTCAGGGGTCCCAGCCCCAGGCTCTGCCTGCAGGAAGGGGGTCAGCTCTCAAGGGCATCTCCGTTCTAATAACTCAGCCCTGGGGGATGATGTGGGACGCGTGAGCCCCATTTAAGACAGTGTCTCCTTCTCTCCTAGGAGCCCACAGAAAACCCACTCTCTCAGCCCTGCCGAGCCCTGTGGTGACCTCAGGAGAGAACGTGACCATCCAGTGTAGCTCAAGGGTGGGATTTCACAGGTTCATTTTGATTGAGGAAGGAGAAAACAAGCTCTCCTGGATGCTGGACTCACAGGAACTCTCCAAGGGGCTGTCCCTTGTCCCTGGCCCTGTTCCCTGTGGGCCGTGTGGCTGCCAGTCACCGGTGGATGTTCAGATGCTATGGGCATTACACGAACTTCCCCTGGGTGTGGTCGGAACCCAGTGATACCATGGAGATCCTGGTCTTAGGTATGGATGTCTTCCTCCTTGCCCTATTTATTTTTGAGAACTTACTCTCACGGAGCCCCATGTAGGAGGGTGGAACAAGGGAAGTTTGGGACTCCTGAGCCCAGAGACACTGAGTGTGAGAGACAGTGAGACCTGCAGGGCCAGGAGGGGAGAAGGAAGGGGTGTGGGAGGAACCAGCCCTCCTAGTCCCGACTCTTCTTTCCCTCCAGGCGTGTCTAGGAAGCCCTCCCTCCTGACCCTGCAGGGCCCTGTCGTGGCCCCTGGGGAGAATCTGACCCTCCAGTGTGGCTCTGATGTCGGCTATGACAAATTCACTCTGTACAAGGAGGGGGGACATGACCTCGTCCAGGGCTCTGGCCGGCAGCCCCAGGCTGGGCTCTCCCAGGCCAACTTCACCCTGGGCCCTGTGAGGGTCTCCCACGGGGGCCAGTACAGATGCTACGGTGCACACAACCTCTCCTCCGAGTGGTCGGCCCCCAGTGACCCCCTGAGCATCCTGATCGCAGGTGAGGAGCCCAGCAGGTTCAGTCAGGGACCCAGGCTCCGCACAGGCCCTGCTGGGGGAGCCCAGGTGGTGATGGCCGGGATGAGGGGTGGGGGTCCTAAGGGACGGAGAGACAGACAGAGACAGGGGATGGGCGGGGAGGGGGAGACTCAGAGAAAACAGAGACAGAGACACTGAGGGTCCCAGGGAGAGGCCTGGGGAGGTGTCAGCTCAGAACGAGGTGGGGCAGCCCCTCACCCATCCTTCTTCTCTCCAGGACAGATCCGTGGCAGACCCTCCCTCTCGGTGCAGCCGGGCCCCACGGTGGCCTCAGGAGAGAACGTGACCCTGCTGTGTCAGTCACGGGAGCAGTTGGACACTTTCCTTCTGACCAAGGAGGGGGCAGCCCATCACCCACTGCGTCTGAGATCAGAGCACCAAGCTCAGCAGCACCAGGCTGAATTCCCCATGAGTCCTGTGACCTCAGCCCACGCGGGGACCTACAGGTGCTACAGCTCACGCAGATTCTTCCCCTACCTGCTGTCTCACCCCAGTGACCCCCTGGAGCTCGTGGTCTCAGGTGAGGCCGCTGACCCTGTCCTCTCTGAGCTCAAACCTCAGCTCAGGCCCTGCCCCCAGGAGAGCTCAGGACGCTAAGGAAAGAGGGGAGTAAAGGGGGAGGGTCGGCAGGGGAGGGCCCAGCCCATGAGAGGGTGGAAATAGTCAGGGACCTCCTAATCCTGGGCTCCCACCCCAGAGACCTCAGATGGGGCTAAAGGCCAGGGAGGGCTGAAATGAGATATGGAGAAACCTTGGAGGAATCATGCTTAGGCTGAGGGTAGAAGATGGAGGCCCCACCCACTCCCCACCTGGGCTCCCCTGGCGGCCCCAAAATACTCAGTGCATACCTGAGACGAAGGGGAGATCATGCACCTGCTCACTGCAGCAATGCAGGCAAATTATTCAACAGCAAACCTCGTGTGCAATTCCTTTCTGTCCTTTATTTTTTATGTCCACATATCTAGTTTCTCTTTCTGTTTCTGAAGATTTCAAAGCAATGCTGGCATTTATAATTTACACATTTAATTTGTTAGGTAGCGTTATGATGTAAAATAACTGTGCTCTGATTTTCTTTGGGATTAAATTAAATATGTGCATTCATGATGGAGAATAACTTCTCATTAATAATGTCTTTGTATCCAATACATTTAAAATTAAACTTTATACAGTTAGCAGATGCTTGAAGTTGTATTCATAAAAATTGTGGACATTGTGAATTTTAAGCATTGTTTTACTACTTGAATAATTTGAAAGTCTTTGATTCCTTTCTATTTTCTAAAATTAGTTACGTATGGATGAGAAAGCTATTGGTTTGGGTATGCTAATTTTAGTTCCTATTAACTTACCACAGACACACTCCCTTTCAATCCTTTCCGAAATGATCTCTTCTGATTTATTGATAATAATTACATTAACCACAAGAAAATGGAGGACAAACTTGTTTGTTTCTAAATTATATAATACTCTTCTCACTTCAAATATATATGTATGTGTTTATATATACTCACACACTATTATATATCTTATAATATATATTATGTATTATATATTTATATATACACTATTATATATCTTATATATTATGTATTATATATTTATATATACCCACACATTATTATATCTTATAATATATATTATGTATTATATATTTATATATACCCACACATTATTATATCTTATAATATATATTATGTATTATATATTTATATATGCACTATTATATATCTTATATATTATGTATTATATATTTATATTACCCACACATTATTATATCTTATAATATATATTATGTATTATATATTTATATATACACACACTATTATATATCTTATTATATATTATGTATTATATATTTATATATACTATTATATATCTTATAATATATAATGTATTATATATTTATATATACACACACTATTATATATCTTATATATTATGTATTATATATTTATATATACATACTATTATATATCTTATAATATATTATGTATTATATATTTATATATATACACTATTATATATCTTATTATATATTATATATTTATATATGCACACACTATTACATATCTTATTATATATTTATATGTATACACACACTATTATATATCTTATTATATATTATGTACTATATATTTATATATACTATTATATATCTTATAATATATAATGTATTATATATTTATATATACACACACTATTATATATCTTATATATTATGTATTATATATTTATATATACATACTATTATATATCTTATAATATATTATGTATTATATATTTATATATATACACTATTATATATCTTATTATATATTATATATTTATATATGCACACACTATTACATATCTTATTATATATTTATATGTATACACACACTATTATATATCTTATTATATATTATGTACTATATATTTATATATACTATTATATATCTTATAATATATAATGTATTATATATTTATATATACACACACTATTATATATCTTATATATTATGTATTATATATTTATATATACATACTATTATATATCTTATAATATATTATGTATTATATATTTATATATACACACTATTATATATCTTATTATATATTATATATTTATATATGCACACACTATTACATATCTTATTATATATTTATATGTATACACACACTATTATATATCTTATATATTATATATTTATATATACTCACACTATATCTTATAATACATATTATGCATACACATATGCATAATACATATTATCTATACACATATGCATAATACATATTATGTATACACATATGCATAACACATATTATGTATACACACATATTTACACCTATGCATATATGTATGTATGTATGCGAATGTACCTCTGCCACGGCAGGGAAAGGTTCTATCACACAACTACAGAGCAGTTAGGAGAAGTGTAGACACAAAGGAATGCAGCAACTGAGGGACATGTTGGCTTAAGTCTCTTCAACTCCTCACACACCTCCCCCTTTTTTGGTTGATTCTCAGGAGCAGCTGAGACCCTCAGCCCATCGCAAAACAAGACAGACTCCAAGACTGGTGTGTAAGGAGATGCTCTCGGTTATGGGGCTGGCACAGAGGGTCAGGTCCTGTGAAGGGGAGGTGGGTGCCCTGGGTGGACATCCAGGGGTCCCGGGTGATGTTGATCTGCCCTGACCTCTGAGACCTCTTGGTCCACCATCCCCAGCCTCACACCCCCAGGATTACACAGTGGAGAATCTCATCCGCGTGGCTGTGGCTGGCTTGGTCCTGGTGGTCCTCGGGATTCTGCTGCTTTAGGACTGGCACAGCTAGAGAAGTCCCCAAGATGCAGCAAGGAGGTAAATACATGAGAGAACAATGCACCCTTCAGAGTGCCAGAGCCTTGGCAATGAATCTGATAGTCCTAGGAGGTTCTGGAAGAAAGTCTGGACCATCATTCGGGAAACCGTCTACTGAGAAAGTCGAGAAGGGGAGGCTTGGGTCAGGTTCAGGAAGATGTCTGGGTGCCTGTAGAGAACGCTTCCTCCATTAAACTTCCATTAAATGGCAGTGCTTTCAGTCCTGCTGTTGTGGATCCTCCGTGTCTGCCCCTCCCTTCCTTTCGCTCTCTGTGATGTGAAGGCACGTCCCCCATGGTGGGTTTGCATCCACACCCCTGCGATCACGTGCTCTGGTCCACTGTCATGTAATACATTTGTCTTTGTTTCCAACTACCGCATTCTCTAAAGTGAACTATTGATTCTCCATCTTTTCAGTTCTGAGCATAGATCTGGATTAAATAACTGGAATAGGTGGGCAGATTTGTATTTGGGACTTTGAAACATGAGTCTGAGGCCAGGCACAGTGGCTCACACCTGTAATCCCAGCACTTTGGGAGGCTGAGGTGGGCGGATCACTTGAGGTCAGAAGTTCGAGACCAACCTGGCCAACATGGTGAAACCCTGTCTCTACTAAAAGATACAAAAATTAGCTGGGTGTGGCAGTGAGCACCTGTAATCCCAGCTGCTCAGGAAGCTGAGGCGGGAGAATAGCTTGAACCCGGGAGGCGGAGGTTGCAGTGAGCCAAGATCTTGCCACTGCACTCCAGCCTGGGCAACAGAGCAAGACTCCATCTCCAAAAAAAAAAAAAAAAAGGGAAATATGAGTCTGAAATGATGCCCTAGCACCCTCTCTGGACCCTGAATTCCCTTCACTCTTCATCGGATGATACCTGTGTACTTTGTCCAGAAATATCATCTCTCAGAATGAGCACACTAACGCTCGAAGGCTCAGCCTCATGGTATTCTGTTAAACTGGCTCTCTGAAAAAATTATTTTCTTAAGAAAACTCTGAACATATAAAGCCCCAGATTTATGGTATTTGCTGATTAGTGTGGTATAAATACGTCCTTTATGGCCAACTTCAGGGTGCCCATATGACGCCATTGAATGCACAGTTGGGAAGTAGTCAAAAGAATTGTCGTTCACACGAGTATGAACCAGTTGTAAAGTTTATTTAAAGGTTATAATAATTTCTGCTTCATTCTTATGGTGTAGTTTCAGTAAAATTGTAATGTCAAAAATCATAGCACAATGGAGGGAAAAGAAAAAAATAGGCCGGGTGTGGTGGCTCATGCCTGTAATCCCAACACTTTGGGAGGCCGAGGCAGGAGGATCACCTGAGGTCAGGAGTTCGAGACCAGCCTGGCCAACATGGTGAAACGCTGTCTCTACTAAAAATACAAAAATTAGCCAGACATGGTGGCGCCTGCCTGTAATCCCAGCTACTTGGGAGGCCAAGGCACGAGAATCGCATGAACCCAGGAGGCGGAGGTTGCAGTGAGCCGAGATCACTACAGCCTGGGTGATAGAGCAAGACTCAGTCTCAAGAAAAGAAAAAAGTAGCAAAATCATTTTTTGGAAAGAATATTGAACATGTAGAATTTTAGTACATTAATAGTAAGAGTACAAATTGCTTTAATCAATTAAGGAAGTGTATTGGAATTATCTAGTTAAAAAGAGGAGGCACATGGCTGTGACCCTTCTTAATTATGTACTTAATTATGTACCCTAGAGATAAATGTCTACTTATGTGTCATGATACACTCACAACTGTTATAGGAATGCTGTTCCTATTAGCCAAAGCTATAAAATACCAAAGTCCACCTACGAAAAAAATAAACATAGTGTGGTAAATAGACTCAGTGGAATATTACAAGGTAGTAAAATGCATAAATGAAAATAACAAACAGCACCATACTTCAATTTTCAAGCATAAAGTCAAGTAAATGAAGTATTATTTGAAAATGTGTGCATGGTTATTTCATTACATAAAGGTCAAAAGGAGGGTACATTTATTATTTAGGAAAACACACCTAAGATATCTTTGTAAAATCTGTAAAATCAATAGTACTGTTTCCCCTCTTTCATTCCTTATCTTGAAAATGCTTGTCTCTTTTTCTGCCATGGCTTTCTACCTTGCTTGATATATTACAATTTTGTAACCTGCTTATTTCATCATATGTCATAAGTTCACATGTATATCCCATGAATTATTGAGGGTCTTATTCATTTCAAGTGGCATTTAGGTTTTTAAAAATATCTTTTGGCGACCAGGTGCAGTGGCTCATGCCTGTAATCCCAGCACTTTGGGAAGCCAAGGCAGGTGGATCACGAGTTCAAGAGACAGAGATCATCCTGGCGAACATGGTGAAACCCCGTCTCTACTAAAAATACAAAAAAAAAAAAAAAAATAGCTGGGCATGGTAGAGGGTGCCTGTAGTCCCAGCTTCTCAGGAGGCTGAGGCGGGAGAATGGCATGAACCCGAGAGACGGAGGTTGCAGTGAGCCGAGATCGTGCCACTGCACTCCAGCCTGGCAACAGAGTGAGACTCTGTCTCAAAAAAAAAAAAAAAAGAAAGAAAGAAAGGAAGAAAAAAAAATCTTCTGGCATTAACTATTAAGAAATTGCACTATAAAAAGAGAATATAATGCATAAGACGGCAATTTGAAAAGATTCAGATATAATTTTTTCTTATCTAGTAAATACTTAGTAATTTGTCTAATGCATGCCTTAAATACATACCACTTTATGCAGAGGTTGCCATGAGCCGAGATCGCGCCGTTGCACTCTAGCCTGGGTGGCAGAGCAAGACTCCATCTCAAAAAAAAAAAAGAAAATCTCACAGAAGGAGACCCAGAGCTTCCAGCCTCGCCCAGAGTCTTGGCTCACTCCCTGTGTGTGTGGACCCTAGGGAGCCTCTTCTGTTCCCCACAGAGGTGGAAACTTCCTCCTTAATAACCCCTTGATGGTCCCAGGCACTGGTGACCACTGAGCTTTGCTCTCTCTTTTTTCTTATGGTTCCCTGTCTACTTCCAGGGCTATCACTTTACTTTTTGTGCATTAGACCATGAATAATGTTTTAGAAACATTCTATCAAATTTCTCAGTGCTAGGAACAACTGAGGTTTTTGATTGGGTGCCTCAAATGTCTACCCTTACTGTGGAGTCCGACAACAGGATTCTAACAAGTCCCAACCCCTTCATGCCTTAACCTGGTCTGGAAATAAATTATGTTTAAGCCATCCCATACCCCAGCCACATCAAGCCCCACAACCACTCTGAGAAGTGAGATTTATAGCAAAATGCTCCAAACAAGGTAACTAAGGTTCAGACAAGGGATGTTAATGTGTCCATTTACATAAACAAAAAATGGTAGATGATCAGCTTTCCCTTTGAAATCAGAGTACTAATCTGACTCATTGTTCCCTGAATTTTAGAGGCAGGACCTCAGGAGGAGCTAAGAATCCTACCCCAGGAAAATTACCAATATCAGAAAGGAAACAATGACATCAGTACAGATCCTACAGAATTCAAAAGATTCTAAGTGGACATTATGAAGACATTATTCAGCTTAGATGAAGTGGTCACATATCACAAGAAAACAAACTGTCTAAAACAATCTCTGAAATACCTAGACATTCCCTGAATCATTGAGTTATTAAATAAAATACATTTTAAAATTAAACTCTTTTCAGGAAATAAACTTCAATGTCCCCTAGTGCACTCTCCAAAACATGTAGATGGGAATAAATACTGTTCTGAAAGACATTTCCCTGGAATTACAACCATTCAATATATTTTAAAAGGCAATCATAAAAATATAAAAAGGATATATCAGGAGAAGAAATGTAAATGGCCTAAATTCCCCACATAAAAGGCATAGAGTGGCAACGTGGATAAAAAGCCAAGAGCCAACTGCCTGCTGTCTTCAAGAGACCCATCTCACATGTAATGACACCCACAGGCTCAAAGTAAAAGGATGAAGAAATATTTACTAGGCAACCAGGAAACAAAAAAAAGGAAGGCATTCCTATTCTTATATCACATGAAACACACTTTAAATCAACAGCAATCAGGAAGGACAAAGAAGGGCATTACAAAATGATAAAGGGTTCAATTTGACAGAAGACTTAACTATTCTAAATATATATGCACCCAAATTTGGAGCACCCCGATTCATAAAACAAGTTATTCTTCACCTATGAAAAGAGTTAGACAGCCACACAATAATAGTAAGGGACTTCAGTATCCCACTAACAACGTCAGATGAATCACTAAAACAGAAAACTAACAAAGAAATTCTGGTCTTAAAGACAACACTTGACCAATTGGACCTCATAGACATCTACAGAGTACTCCACCCAACAACTGCAGAATATAGATTCTTCTTATCTGCACACACAAAAAACATATCATATTCTAAGACTGGCCACAAAGCAAGTCTCAATAAATTCAAAGAATCAAAATCATAACAAGGCACACAATAAAAATAGAAAAAAATACCAAGATGATCTCTCAAAACTACAGAAAAACATGGAAATTTAACAACTTGTTTCTGAATGAATATTAAGAGCCATCTATGACAAATCCACAGCCAACATCATATTGAATGGTCAAAAGCTGGAACTGTACCCCTTGAGAACTCTTGGGTGAACAATGAAATTAAAGCAGAAATCACAAAACATTATTTAAAATTAATAAAAATAGAAACAAACTTACCAAAACCTTTGGGATGCAGTTAAAGCAGTGATAAGAGGAAAATTTATAGCAATACATGCCTCATCAGAAGTTTAGAAAGATCTCAAATTAGTGACTTAACACTGCATCTAGAGGAACTATTAAAAAAAAGGAACAGTCCAAACCCAAGGCCAGCAAAAGATGAGAAATAACTAAAGTCAGAGAGAACTGAATAAATTGAGACCAAAAAGTCCATACAAGAGATAAATAAAACCAAGAGTTTTTCTTTGAAAAAAAATAAACAAAATTCATAGACTGTTAGCTAGATTAACAAAGAAAAAGAGAAAAGATCCAAATAAACACAAATAGAACTGACAAAACAATGTTACGAACAATCCCACAGAAATAGAAAAGATCGTCAAAGACTATTATGAACACCTCTATACAAACAAGCTAGAAAACCTAGAAGAAATGGATAAATTCCTGGTAACACAAAATTTATCATATTTCAACCAGGAAGAAAGTGAAAACCTGAACAGACCAATAACAAGTTCAGAAATTTAATCAGTAATAAAAACCCTACTAACTAAAAATAGCCCAGGACCAGATGGATTCACAGCCAAAATCCAACAGCCATACAAAGAAGAACTGATACCGATCTTACTGAAACTTTTGGAAAAAATCAAGGAGTGGGGGCTTCTTCCTAACTCATTCTATGAAGCCATCATCACCATGATACCAACATCTGTCAGAGACATAATGAAAAAAAGAAAACTACAACTAAATATCCTTAATGAACATAGACATAAAATCCTCAACAAAATGCTAGCAAATTGAATCTGTCAGTGCATCAAAAGTTAATTCACATGATCAAGTAAGCTTTATTTTTGGGATGCAAGGTTGGTTCAACCTACAAAGTCAACGAATGTGATTCACCTCATAAACATAATTAAAAACAAAAACTATATGATCATCTCAATAGATGCAGAAAAAGCTTTCTGTAAAATCCAACATCCCTTCATGATAAAAACTGTCAATAGGCATCAAAGGAACATACCTCAAAATATTAAGAGCCATCTATGACAAACCCACAGCCAACATCATATTGATGGGCAAAAGCTGGAACCATACCCCTTGAGAACCGAAACAAGACCAGGATGACCACTCCCGCCATTTTAATTCAACATGGTACTGGAAGTCCTAGCCAAAGCAATCAGGCAAGAGAAGGAAATAAAAGGCATTAAAATTGGAAAAGAAGTAGTGATACTGTCTCTCTTTGCTGATGAAATAATTTTATACATAGAAAACCCTAAAGACTCTGTCAGAAGGCTCCTGAAACTGATAAACAAATTCAATAAAGTTTCGGGATTAAAAAAATGTACACAAATTAGTAACATTTCTATGCACCACTAACATTCTAGCTGAGAACTAAATCAAGAACACAATTCCATTTACACTAGCCACAAAGAAAATAAAATACCTAGGAATCCATCTAACCAAGAAGGTGAAAATTCTCTACAAGGAGAACTACAAAACACTTCTGAAAGAAATAAGAAATGATACAAACAAATGGAAGAATATTCCATGCTCATGAATTAGGAGAACAAATAGTTAAAATCGCCATACTTCCAAAAACAAATTGCAGACTCAATGCTATCCATTTCAAAATGCAATGTCATTTTTCACGAAATTATAAAAATTTATTCTAAAATGTATTTGGCACCAAAAAAAGAGCCTGAATACACATAGGAATCCTAAGCACAAAGAACAAAGCCCAGGCATCACATTACCCAACTTCAAACTATACTACAATGCTATAGTAACCCAAACAGCATGATACTACTACAAAAACAGACACATAGACCAATGAGACAGAATAGAGAACCCAGAAATGAGGCTACATACCTACAATCATCTTTGAAAAAATTGACAAAAACAAGCAATGTGGAAAGTACCCTTTCTTCAATAAATAGTTCTGGGATAACTGACTACTCATATGCAAAATAATAGAACTGGACCCCTAACTCTCACTATATACAAAAATTAACCCAAGATAGTTTAAAGATTTAAATGTAAAACCTCAAAATATTAAAATTCTAGAAGAAAACCTAGGAAATATCCTTCTCAAGATAGACTTTGGCAAAGAATTTATGGCTAACTCCCCAAAACCAATTGTGACAAAGACAGAAATTGGGACCTAACTCAACTGAAGAGCTTCTGCACAGCAAACGAAAGTATCAACAGAGTAAACAGATAACCTACAGACTGGGAGAAAATATTTGCAAACTATGCATCTGACAAAGTTCTAATATCCAGAATCTATAAGGAATGTAAACAAATCAACAAGCAGAAAACCAAAAAACCTCAATTAAGTATGACATGAACAGACACTTCTCAAAAGAAGATGTACACATGGCCAAAAAACATATGAACAAATGCTTATTATCAGTAATCATCAGAGAAATGCAAATTAAAACCACAGTGAGATACCATCTCACAACAATCAGAGAAGCAGAAGCAATTACTAAAAAGTTTTTTGTTTTTTTTAATAACAGATGCTGACAAGATTGTGGAGAAAAGGGAACACTTATACACTCTTGGTGGGAATGTTAACTAGTTCAGCCAATGTGATAAGCAGTTTGGAGACTTCTCAAATAACTTAAAATAGAACTACTATTCAATCAAGCAATCCCACTACTGGGTATATACCAAAAGGAAGGTAATTAACTATGTCAAAAAGACACATGCACTAGTATATTCATTGCTGTGCAATTCAGAATAGCAAAGATTTGCAGTCAACCTAAGTGCTCACCAACAGTGGATTAGTTAAAGAAAATGTGCTACATATACACATGGAACATTACATGGCCATAAAAAATAATGAAATCATGTCCTTTGCAGCAACATGAATGTAGCAGGAGGTCAATCTCCTAAGTGAACTAACCCAGGAACAGAAAACCAAATACCACATGTTATCACTTATAACTGAGAACCAAACATTGAATACACATGAACATAAAGATGGAAACAACAGATACCGAGGACTACAGATGGGGGGAGGAGTAGGGAGGTATAGGCTGAAGAAACACCTGTTGGATTCTATGCTCATTGCCTGGGTGATGGCATTGTTGGAACCACAAACCTCAGAGTCACACAATATGCCTATGTAACAAACCTGCATGCATACCTTTAATCTACAGTAAAGGTTGAAGTTATTTAAAAATAGGAAGAAGAATTACCCTATACCTAAAGCTAAGATTTTTCCCTTTGAATATTCGTTTCTTCATCACTGTAGATAAGCAGGGAAAGAAAAATTATTATACTATACTAGCCTTTTATGTGACCATGAGGATTTGGGGTAGGTAGGTGGACAGCTTAGATAATTCACCAGGATATTGATACAGGCTCCATGGCTGGAAATAACCAAGGATGAGTGCTGTGTTTTGAGTGGTCTCCCCCAGAAACGTTTGTTGAAATCCTAACCCCTGGTATGTATGAATGTGAATTCATATTATATAAAAAGGAATAAATAGCCTGAGCACAGTGGCTCACACCTGTAATCCCAGCACTTTGGGAGGCCAAAGCAGGTGGATCATTTGAGGTCAGGAGTTCTGGCCAATATGGCAAAACTTCATCTCTACAAAAAAAAAATACAAAAAAAAAAATTGGCTGGGTATGGTGGCGCATGCCTGTAGTCCCAGCTACTCAGGAGGCTGAGGCAGGAATTGCTGAAACCTGGAAGGCAGAGGTTGCAGTGAGCCAAGATCATGCCACTGCACTCCAGCCTGGGTGAGACGGCAAGATATTCTGTCAAAAATAAATAAATAAAAAACAGAAGAAGAAATACAAGAATGACAGCAAACTTTGTATTCAAAACTATGAAAGTAAGAAACAGGTGGACCAACATTTTTAAAGTGCTACAAGAAAATATTTCAAACTAGAATCTTTCAACCTGAAAAGGAAAACATTTTCCTGCAATAAAGGTGCCATTAAAAATGTCTCACAATTTATTACATGAAGCATTGTTCTACAATAAATGTTAAGCTCTTGAAGCAAAGATTAATGATACCATTTAGTAACTTGAAATTCAAAAAAGTGGAAGTATCCCAAGAGGCAAATACGTGTGCAATTATTAAATGTTTCATATCAACACCCAACCTTATGCTGTCTACATAAGCTGCACTTCAAATACTAATCCACAAGATGTAAATATTGAAAGAATGACATTACCTTGTCATGATAATGCCCAGTGCAAAATATGCTTCTAGTCAGTTGTATACATAGAATAGGTAAATGTTTGTAATAAAAAGTATTCCTCAATAGAAGTTTCTTAACTCAAAGAATGAAATATTTCACCATGCACATACAAAGAAGAGATATATGGAGATATGAAGAGGAGTACTTCATAATGACAAAGAGGCAAATTCATAAATAAGACATAATCATCCTAAATGCCTACACACTTAAAGCTGGAACCTCAAAACACATTAAATTAAAGGCATAATTCAAAACATAATCAATCACATCCAAATTGCAGCTAGAGATAGCAACATTCACCTCACTTCCAGAACAAGTACACAGAAAATTATTAAGCATATGAAAGACTTGAAAAACATTTGTGTAGGCGGCGGGTGCATAAGGTTGGGTGTTGATATGAAACATTTAATAATTTCAATAATCCTAGCACTTTGGGAGGCCAAAATGGGAGGATCACTTGAGGCCAGGAGTTTGAGACCAGCCTGGGCACCATAGTGAGACCCCGTCTCTATTTTTTTTAAATAAAGAAAAACATTTGAATGATTTTTTTCTTAACTGACATTTAGAAAACATCCACCTCAAATCTTCCTAATCCACAAACTTGTCTAGCACCCCTGGAACATTCACCAAAATAAATTTTTAAATGCTGAATCATAGGTAATATGATAGATGAAACAGTTGAATTAAATTATAAATGTACAACAAGGAAATGCTGGGGAAATTATCAAATATTTTAAAATTAATAAACACACATAGCAATAAACAATGAGTGGAAGAAAAACATTTCAAAGAAAGGTGGAAAATATTTTGTATCAATTAAAAATGAAAACACATCTCGGCAAATGACTGGGGATACAGATAGAACAGCGTTAAGGGACAATAAGCCTCAAATGTCTGTGTTAGAAAAGAAGGAAGAGCTGAGTAAATAGGTAACTTTCACTTGCAGAAATACTACACATCAGCAAATTAATTCCAAAGTAACGTCGAGGAAAAACATAAAATGGCAAGCAAATATATACGTGCATATGTACATACATTCATAAATGACAAACAGGACAGAAAAATCAGTGACATCAATTTTGTTCCTTAGAAGAAACAGGAAAATTGACCCCAAAAAACTTTCCAGGCCACATTTGGTCATGATGGAAATATTTTGGCACTTCCTGGTTAAGCTCAACACCAACTTGCACCCAAAACCAATAATTTCATTTCTAGGTAAATATGTCTAATTAATTCAGCATATGTATGCAAGGGATCACACAGAAACACGATTATCAAGGCCCGAGTTATAAAAGAGAAAATCCGGAAACAACACAAATGTCCATGATAAAAAGAATGGATAATTACATGTTGATAAAGTTATGCATGGACTATTAAACTGCAATCCAAAAGAATAAAATAGAGCTATAAAATTCAATATGTATATGGTGTCATAGAAACACAAATGTGAGAAAAAGAAAGAAAAATACAAAATTTATATTTTTTAAAATTTGAAACAACTATATATGTGAGTGCTTAGGGTGTGTGTGTGTGTGTGTGTGTGTGTGTATAACCATATGTATATAAATGCACACATACGCACACATATAGAATGTCCCGGCCAGGCATGGTGGCTCACACCTGTAATCTCAGCACTTTGGGAGGCTGAAGTAGACAGATCACTTGAGGTTAGGAGTTCAAGACCAGCCTGGCCAACATGGAGAAACCTCCTCTCTACTAAAAGTACAAAAATTAGGTGGGCGTGGTGGTGGGTGCCTGTAAATCCAGCTACTTAGGAGGCTGAGGCACGAGAATTGCGTGAACCTGGGAGGTGGAGGCTGCAATGAGCCGAGGTCTCACCACTGCATTCCAAACTGGGTGACGAAGTGAGATTGCATCTCAAAAAAAAAAAAAGTTCTAAAAGTTGTGACTTGGGTGTGGCAGATTGTGACATACTGCCAGCTGCTAGAAATGCTGGGGCAGGAGGATTGCTTGAACTCTGAAGTCAAAGAACAGCCTGGGGAAAATAGCACATGAAGAAGAGTTTGAATCTCAGATAAAAACAACAAAAATACATCAAAAGTCTTTAATGTAAGCCAAGCATTCAGTCATCTCCTGTATGAGAGATTGGATCTGAGACGTGTTTTGAGTTGGTTATAGTGAAGGATGCAAGGTGTCAATTCTAGTTGGAACAATTTCCAGGAAGCCATGTTCTGCTCTTGACCAAACAGCCACTGGGCCTCATGCAAGGTAGAAATAGCCTGCATACGTCATCCTCCCATGATGTGGTCAGCATGTAAACTGCATGAGCCCCTCACAACATCCTGTGTGCTGCTGAACTGAGCTGGGGCGCAGCCGCCTGTCTGCACCGGCAGCACCATGTCGCTCATGGTCGTCAGCATGGCGTGTGTTGGTGAGTCCTGGAAGGGAATCGAGGGAGGGAGCGGTGGGGTGGAGATCTGGGCCTGGAGTGGAGATATGGGCCTGGAGTGGAGATATGGGCCTGGAGTGGAGATATAGGCCTGGAGTGGAGATATGGGCCTGGGGTGGAGATATGGGCCTGGAGTGGAGATATGGGCCTGGAACTGTAGATATGGGCCTGAAGTAGAGATATGGGCCTGGAGTAGAGATATGGGCCTGGAACTGTAGATATGGGCCTGGAGTGGAGATATTGGCTTGGAGTGCAGATATGGACCTGGAATTGAGATACGGGCCTGGAGGTGGAGATATGGGCCTAGAGTGGAGATATGGGCCTGGAGGTGGAGATATGGGCCTGGAACTGTAGATATGGGCCTGGAGTAGAGATATGGGCCTGGAGTGGAGATGTTGGCTTGGAGTGCAGATATGGGCCTGGAATGGAGACACGGGCCTGGAGGTGGAGATACAGGCCTGGAGGTGGAGATATGGGCCTGGAGTGTAGATATGGGCCTGGAGTAGAGATATAGGACAGAGGTGGAGATATAGGCCTGGAGTGGAGATATGGGCCTGGAGTAGAGATATAGGACGGAAGTGGAGATATGGGCCTGGAGTGGAGATATGGGCCTGGAGGTGATGTACAGATGGATCATCCATCATGATCTTTCTTTCCAGGGTTCTTCTTGCTGGAGGGGCCCTGGCCACATGTGGGTGAGTCCTTCCCCCAAACCTTAGGTTGTCATCTCCCCACATAAGATGATGTTCCTGAAACGGGAGGCAGGCGACACAGGGGGTTGACTGATGGGCTGACCATGGGAAGCCATGTGGGAATCTCTCATGAACTAGGAAAAGGAAGCCAGGGGAAGCTTCGCCACAGTTCTGTCCTAGCCCTCCCCGGCCTTTCTTTCCCTTGGCTGAGTCTGTGGGGACCCAGGGGGAGACTGAAGTGCTCAAAGGAGTGGTGTGCAGGGAGGAAGTGGTGTCACCAGCAGAGGAAGGGAGAGAAGCAGTGCAAGGAACAACAGGCCTCTGAGGACAAGAGCATAACTCACACCCTCCAGCGTTTCCATGACGGTAGGGGCTGCAATGTGGCTGCTGTCATTCTACCTAAGAGGTGGGGGAACCACAGTCATGACCCTGACATTCCAGATCTTCTAATAGGGGCTCAGTTGTTTATTATGGTTCATGCATTAGCTGATCATGCCCTCCATCCTGTGTCTACCTTGTGTTCTTTTATGTAAGTAATTTTGCAGTGTTAAAATCTAGTAAGAGTCGCTTCTTCAGCACCTGCTCAAAGTTCTCAGCTGACACTTGCTGTAGGGAGACGCCATGTCTATGCGGGATGGGTCCTTCCTGTAGCCCTGGGCACCCAGGTGTGGTAGGAGCCTTAGAAACGTGGAAATGGGAGAATCTTCTGAGCACAGGGAGGGAGGGGCGGCTCCACATCCTCCTCTCTAAGGTAGTGCCTCCTTCTCCCCCAGGTGGTCAGGACAAGCCCTTCCTCTCTGCCTGGCCCGGCACTGTGGTGTCTGAAGGACAACATGTGACTCTTCAGTGTCGCTCTCGTCTTGGGTTTAACGAATTCAGTCTGTCCAAAGAAGACGGGATGCCTGTCCCTGAGCTCTACAACAGAATATTCCGGAACAGCTTTCTCATGGGCCCTGTGACCCCAGCACATGCAGGGACCTACAGATGTTGCAGTTCACACCCACACTCCCCCACTGGGTGGTCGGCACCCAGCAACCCTGTGGTGATCATGGTCACAGGTCAGAGGCTTTCTGTCTGGGCTTCTCACTGTCCCACCTCCTGAATCCCAGAGCTTCTGGTGGGGGTGTCCATCAGGGTCCAATCATCCAGGCCCAGACTGTATTTGGGGTAAAGGGGGATTCAGTACAGAGAAATAGTTGCTGTGGTGGGAAGAATAATTGTCCCCAGTGATGGCTACATGGTAATCCATGAACCCTGTGACTATTTATGTCATAGGGCAGGGGACTGAAGGGGAAGATGGAGCTCAGGTTGTTGATGGGTTGACCTTGCGATGGGGAGACAGCCTGGACTGTCCTGCTGTGCTCAGAGTAATCACAAGGGTCCTCATGAGAGGAGGAGGAAGAGGAAAGTGGGGTTAGAGCAACGTCGTGGGAGGGAGACTCCATCAGCCACAGCGGGCTTTGAAGATGGGGGAAGGCCATGAGCCACAAAGGCAGTTGGCCTCTAAGGGCTGGAGAAGTCAAGGGAACTGATTCTTCCCTGAGTCTCCAGAGGAAACACAGCCCTGTAGATGCCTTGATTTTAGCCCAGAGAGAACTGGGTCCGATTTCTGTTCTCCAGAAGTGGAAGGGGTCATTGTATTCTCTCCTGCCCCATGTTTGTGACAATTTTCTCCAGCAGCAACAGGAAACCAACACAGGAACCCAGGTGAAGCACAAGTTAAGAAACCAAACAAGGAGAAGGTTGGCTACACTGATTTTAGCATGGGTGGGATACTGATGCTACCACCAGGCTCGATCCACATAGGGAGGGGTTGATGCTCCTGGAACCAGCACCAGGGGCCACCCTATGGAAGCTGGGGCCATGGAGAAGGCACAGACATGACAGGAGAGGCTCCCAATCCCCATCAGGAACAGGGACACTGATGCCTGCCTTACTGATGAGTTCGTACCTCCTGCCAGCCTTTCCAATCTGTCCAAAAGAGATTGATTCAGGCTGCTAAGAGCCTGGACATGCAGCCTGTCGTGGTTCCTCTTCCACCCCCACATAAACACCAGGAAAGAGATTAGTGGGAAACAGATACAACAGCATAAGAGGTGACACTGAGCACAGTGGGAAGGGAATCAGGGCTACTAGAGACAGAGAGACAGGGAAGAGGGAGGGAGACAGATGGAGGGACCTGCAACAGGGGTTATGGGCACAAAAGAACACGGAGACACAGAGAGGAAGGAGAGAGATAGACACCATGGAGGGGAAGCCTCACTTATTTCAGGTCCCATGAATGGGATGAGAAAGGGAGACGCCTTCTGAACTCACAACCTCTCTTCTTAGGAGTCCACAGAAAACCTTCCCTCCTGGCCCACCCAGGTCCCCTGGTGAAATCGGGAGAGACGGTCATCCTGCAATGTTGGTCAGATGTCAGGTTTGAGCGCTTCCTTCTGCACAGAGAGGGGATCACTGAGGACCCCTTGCGCCTCATTGGACAGCTCCACGATGCGGGTTCCCAGGTCAACTATTCCATGGGTCCCATGACACCTGCCCTTGCAGGGACCTACAGATGCTTTGGTTCTGTCACTCACTTACCCTATGAGTTGTCGGCTCCCAGTGACCCTCTGGACATCGTGGTCGTAGGTGAGAGAATACAGACCTGCCTCTCACCCTTGCTGGGAGATGGAGTGAATGATCTAGGACTGGAAGCCCCAGGTGGTCATGAGGAAGATGAGTGTGGGGTTCCTATGGAGAGAAAGTGACTTGGTGAGGTCTGTACCAACAAAGGCAGAGAAACAGGAGACACAAGTACAGACCTCATGTCATAACATAGAAGCCAGACACAGGGGCCATACAAGGTGTTAGAAAAAGAGATAAAGAGGTAAAGAAGACACAGAGAGACAGATATATCCCAGAGAGAGGTGTCCTTCTATGCTGACTTTGTTCAGAGACCAGGCACAGGTTAGAAGGTTCCATTCTGTTTTACCTCTACAAAGTGTTCTCTCCCAGGAGAACCCAAAGAGACACATCTATCTGGCCTGAGTTGGGCCGTGTGGCCCCAGGCTGGTGGCACCTACAGATGCTGTGTTTATTCTTAAACCTCTGCCTTCCGTGCAGTGGAGCTGTCGTCGTCGCAGGACACCATGGCCCCAGGTGAGGGAGCAGAACACCAACCCCTGTATGTTGTGAGTTCCTGGAGTCCCCATACTGGATTCTGAGGCTCATATTCAAATAGCACCACATGTTATAGGATTACTGAGAACAAAAGCCCACAGAGAGACACGGAGTGAAATCAGGGAAATCAAAAAGCAAAGACATGAACACACACACAGAATGAGCCAGAAGAAGGGAATTGAGAGACTCACAGACACATAAAGAGATAGAAAAAGAGGGCAGAGAAGTGGAGCGTATGATGGAAGGAAGCAGAGAAAAGCCCTAAAATCAGAGCCCTGAGGGAGGGGCACAAAGACAGGGAAAGATAAAGATGTGGGGATGGATTGCAGAGACTCCAAAAGGGAACTAGAGAGACTGAGAGGCAGAGAAAGACAAGGAGATGGAGAGAGACAGATGATAGATGGATAGATAGATATAGATAGATGAAAGATAAAAGGTAGATGATAGATAATAGAGAGACAGGTGATAGACAAATAGATGATGAATGACTGATAGATGATATAGATAGACAAGTAGAAAGACAGACAGATGATATATAAATAGATATAGAGAGATAGAAAGATAAACACATGATGATAGATGGATAGATGCATACATACATACATTGATTGATAGATGATAGATAACAGAGAGATAGGTCATAGATACACAGATGATGATAGATGATAGATACATACATAGATAAATGATAGATCGATCAATAGATAGTAGATAGAAATATGCAGAAAGTTATGAGCAAGACAGAAAGTGAGAGACTCAGAATTAAAGAAAGAGGAAGATCAAGTCAACCAGTCCAAGGAGGGTCAGAGAGAATAAAATGGTACAAAAAAAGAAAACATAGCTAGGGATGGAGAAGTGAGGTCAGAGACCTAGAGAGACAGAGAAGGTGGAAGGAGGAAATAGACATGAAGAGAGATGGGGGTGGAGGGTGAGAGAGAGAAAGAGAGCATTAAGTCATAGAGCAGGGGAGTGAGTTCTCAGCTCAGGTGTGAGGAGAGCTGTGACAACGAAGAACCTCCCTGAGGAAACCACCTCTTCTCCTTCCAGGTCTATATGGGAAACCTTCTCTCTCAGCCCAGCCGGGCCCCACGGTTCAGGCAGGAGAGAATGTGACCTTGTCCTGCAGCTCCCGGAGCTTGTTTGACATTTACCATCTATCCAGGGAGGCAGAGGCCGGTGAACTTAGGCTCACTGCGGTGCTGAGGGTCAATGGAACATTCCAGGCCAACTTCCCTCTGGGCCCTGTGACCCACGGAGGGAACTACAGATGCTTCGGCTCTTTCCGTGCCCTGCCCCACGCGTGGTCAGACCCGAGTGACCCACTGCCCGTTTCTGTCACAGGTGAGAAAACACCATGCCTGTCCCATGTCTTGTGATCCTAGAGCCATAGCTGAGGAGCTTCCTGCTGATGATGGAGAGAAGCATGGACAGATGCCGAGACAGAACACACAGCATGGGTGTAAGGGCGGGGTCAGGGGGCAGGATGGCAGACAGGGCACCTCCAAACCCTCCTGTATGGCCTGCAAGGAGGCCCTTGATCAGGGTTCCAGGCACCCAGGCAGATGGAGAAAGAGGTCAGAACAGACCCAGAGGAGGGAGACTGGGCTCTGCCTGGGGAGATCAGAGGTTCTCTCAGCCCCTCAACCTTACCCACTTCCCAGAAGCCCATCCTGGCCTGTCACCCACAGAGAGATGTCATCACCAGCAACGCCTACACCCTTTTCTTTTTGTTTGAAGAAATATTTATTGAGGTGAAATATACCTATGTAATTTACCACCTTTACCATTTTTAAGTGTGAAGTCTACTGTTCATAAATACATTTATAGGCTGGGCACGGTGGCTCACTGTTGTAATCCCAACACTTTGAGAGGCCAAGGCAGGTGGATCATTTGAGATCAGGGGCTCAAGACCACCCTGGCCAACATGGGGAAAATCCATCTGTACTAAAAATACAAAATAATAATAATAATGATAATAATTAGCCGAGCATGGTGGCACATGCCTGTAGTCCCAGCTACTTGGGAGGGTTGGGCAGGAGTTGCACTTAATTGCAGGAGGCGGAGGTTGCAGTGAGCTGAGATCATGCCACTGCACTGCAGCCTGGGCAACAGAGAGAGACACTCTCTCAAAATTAATTAATTAATTAATTAGTATTCTTTTTTTTTTACCCTCCACCCTTCCCTTCCTGGCCTCTGGTAGCCACCATTCTACTCTCTACCTTTGTGAGATCCACCTTTTAGCTCCTGCATATGAGTGAGAAATGGAAATACTTGTAATGACCTCCAGTTCCATTCATGTGGCTGTAAATGACAGGATGTTACTCTTTCTATGGATGAGTTGTCCCTATTGTGTGTGTGTACCACATTCTCTCCATCCATTCACCCACTGATGGGCAGGTAGGTTGATCCACATCTTGGCTACTGTGAACACTGCTGGAACAGTCATGGGAGTGCAGATGTCACTTCGATACGCTGATGTCCTTTCCTTTGGGTTTACACCCAGTCATGGAATTGCTAGATCCTCTGGAAGTGTCTTTTTACATTTTGTTTTATGGTTTTTGTTTTTGTTTTTGTTTTTTTTAGACAGTTTCACTCTTGTTGCCCAGGCTGGAGTGCAGTGGTGCCATCTGGGCTCACTGCAACCTCCACCTCCAGGATTCAAGAGATTCCCCAGCCTCAGCCTCCCAAGTAGCTGGGTTACTGGCTCCCACCACCACACTCGGCTAATTTTTATATTTTTAGTAGAGACAGAGTTTCGCTATATTGGCCAGGCTGCTCTTCAACTCCTGACCTCAAGTGACCTACCCACCTCGGCCTCCCAATGTGCTGGGATTACAGGCATGAACCACTGTGCCCGACCTCATTTTATTTTTTGAGGAACTTCCATACTCTTCTCCTCTGTAATGGCTGTACTAATTTGCATTCGTATCAGCAGTGTACCAGATGCAACCCTGGTTGACTCAGCAGAGCAAGAGACGTGCAGTAAGAGAGAATTTAGCTTATTTATGCACACGACACTTCCACTCACTCACTCGTTCAGCCAATGCCCCATGCTCTGGCTGTGCAGTGTGGAATCTTTTCCTATTGTTGCCATAACAAATTTCCACAAGCTTCGTGGATGAAAACATGTTTTTCTTAATTATCTCACAGTGCTGTAACTCAGAAGTATGAACTGCATTTCACTGGGCTGATATCAAAGGGACAGTAAGGCTGGATTTCTTTTTAAGGTTCCAAGCAAGAATCTGCTCCTTAACGTTTCCCAGCTCCTAGAGGCTCCCACGTTCCTGGGCCCCTGGTCCCCTTCCTCCTTCCTCCTTCCTCAAAGCCCACAAAGGCTGGTCACGTCTCACATGGCATCATTCAGACTCTTCTTCTTTACCCATACCTTTTTCTCTGAATCCTGCTCTGCCTTCTTCCTCATCTTTTAAGGACTTTGGGATTCTATTGGGGTCACCAAGATAATCCATCTCAATCTCCCTAAAATCATCCAGCGTACCCTCTTTTTAAGTTCAGCTGATTAGCAACCGTAATGCCATCTGCAATCTTCATTCCTCCTTTCCTGTAAAATAACATATTCACAAGCTATGGAGGCTAAGACAGGGACATTTTGGGGGTGGGGCAGCATTCTCCTGCCTTCCACAAATGGTAAACAGGATGCATTTGGCCTCTGCTCTTGGGACGCTGATATTGCAGATGGGTAAATGCGAGGGCAGAGAATGAATGCACAAGGGTACCAATAAATGAATGATCCATTGGGAAGCATCTGTGCACCAAATCTGGGGTTTTTTGTGTGTGTGTGTGTTTTTTGTTTTCTTTTTTTTTTTTGAGTAGAGTCTCTCTCTGTTCCACAGGCTGGAGTGCAGTAGCACAATCTCAGCTCATTGCAACCTCTGCCTCCTGGGTTCATGCAATTCTCCTGCCTCAGCCTACCGAGTAGCTGGGATTACAGCTGTGCGCCACCACACTCGGCTAATTTTTTTGGTATATTTTTTAGTAGAAATGAGGTTTCACCATGTTGTGCAGGCTGTCTCAAACTCCCAATCTCAAGTGATCCCACCGCCTTAGCGTCCCTAAGTGCAAAGATTACAGGCGAGAGCTACTGCGCCCAGCCAGGATTTAAAATAAGTAATAGATAATGCTGAGTATATAATTTCAGGTGACAGAGAAGGTCTCACTGATCAGATAATATTTGTGACCTTAATGGAAAAAATGGATTCAACCCTTGGAAGATTGGCGGAAGGATTTTCCACACTGAGCTCTCAGCCGTGAAGGCACAAAGGTGGAAACATTCTTAGTTCAAGGAAGAGGCTCTGCCTCAAATGCTGGGAATGAGATGGGGAGAATGACAAGACAACTGTAGAGAGATGGAGAGCACACTGGGTACACAGGAAACTAAGGAGGAACAAGGAGCATGTTTTTGATACTCACAGCCCTTGGATTCAACTCAGAGCTAACTAGGAATCCCTACCTGATTAACAGTGACCGACATGAAAATAAGGGAGGCCCAGGTGCGTAACTGGAATCTAGGAGACCGTGGAAAAGGCAATTCCCGCCCCACTGGTGAAACGTAGGGTTGATTTACACACTAAATGAATGAAAGATGGATATAAGCTATGCTTGTGAGGTAGAATCATTTGCAGGGAGGGCTTGCTGGGTTTGATTTTTCCTAGTAGTTTAATCCTTGTTTCATTAATTTCTTTCTGAGATGTGTTTTTTTTCTACATCTAAATCAATACCTGGCAGAGGAGCGATAGACACATGAGGGGTGGTGCAAATGAAGGGACCTAGTATAATATAATATACAAGACTGTGGATGGGGGCTCACACCTGTAACCCAACACTTTGGGAGGCCAAGGCGGGTAGATCACTTAAGGGTAGGAGTTTGAGACCAGCCTGGCCAACATGGTGAAACCCCGTCTGTACTAAAAATACAAAAATTAGCCTGGTGCATTGGCACCTGCCTGTAATCCCAGCGACTGGGGAGGCTGAAGCAGAAGAATGGCTTCAACCCTGGAGGCAGAGGTTGAACTGAGATCGCATCACTGCACTCCAGCCTGACACAGGGGGACTCTGTCTCAAAAAATAAAAATAAAACATACATAATTATGACACACAGAAATTACAAAGGCAACTGGATACCAACCATCATTTTTCTATTTCTCTGTGTTTAATTCTTTGACCCTTTATCTTATCCATTAAACAATCAGGTTAAACCTCTTCCTTATTTGGCTTTCTGTGAGCTTGGGATCATATGGAAAATGTGAAAGCCTCCTGAACCCACCAGCACAGGTCCTGGAATAGAGAACGTGCTCTGTTCATGGCATAAAACTTGCCCCTTCACCCAAATCCCCCAATTCATCTCTACTTCCAATCACCTATGGAGATACAGATAGATCATGGGGAGGTAAACACTAATACTCTTTGGAGTGAGCTCAGATCTTGGACTCAGAGACCAGTGCCAGCACTAGCCCCTGGTCACATTTCGTACTAACTCACAGAAGGACAGGCTGTATTGAAACAATAAACGACGGAGAGGGCGGTCCTTCCCCGTGCTTCTCGGGTGGAATAGCAGCCTAATATATGTCTCAGCAGATCACAAAAAGTAGCATGTTGTTCCTGGGCTACATCATTATTTCATGGCTGTTTGATTTAAGTCAGTTCTACTTCACTTTTTTTATCTTGATTTCATTTTTTCTTTCTTTTCTTGGAGAATGTAATTTTTTTTGAGTCAAGAGGGTTGTGGTGGTAGAAACTGTAAAGCACATTCGCTGTGTATCAATCCCAATCCAGTCTTCCCAGAGAAGATTCTAAACACCTCCTGGAATGCACCTGGGCCTATACCAATTCCTATCACTCACCGTCACTCCAGGGAGACAGAACACACAGAGAACACATTACACAGGCAGGTTCATTACTAACAGATAAGCAGCGAGTGACAACAGAAACCTACATTTCAATGTGAGCCAGTCCCTCAAGGCTCAGAAAAGCTGCTCGAGACATGGGGAGTCACCCCATATGCAGTGTATCTGGGGGAAATCAAAAAGCAGCCCAGCCTGGGTTTTGTACCCTGGAGCCACAGGAAGCACTCAGCTAAAGCACTGCATGACGTCCTCCTCCAGGAAGAACAGGAAGACAGCCCAGGCTGTTCTGGGATGTTCCTCCTGATCTCAGGACGTTGCTGTCTTAGTCCATTTTTGTTGCTCTAAAGGAACACTTGAGCCTGGGTAACTTCTAAAGAAAAGAAATGTGTTTGCCTCACAGTTCTGCAGGCTGTACTGGAAGCATGGCACCAGCATCTATTTCTTGTGACGGCCTCAGGCTGCTCCCACTCTGGCAGAAGGGAAGGAGGGTCTGTCTGTGCAGAGACCACAGAGATCACACGGCAAGAGAGGGACCAAGGGGGAGGGGGAGCGATGGAGCTTCCAAGCTCTTTTAACAACCAGTTCTCCAGGAACTAATAGAGGGGGAACTTGCTAACCCCGTCTCCTTGGAACAGCATTGATCTGTTCATGATGGATCCACCTCCATGACCCAAACAACTCCCAAGAGGCCCAACCTCCCACCCTGGGGGTTACATTTCAATGTGAGGTTTGAAGGGGTCAAACATCTAAACTAAAGCAGTTGTATCCTCAGCACGTTCTATGGTTACTACAACTGAGAAAGCAGGAGGAAGCTAGGTCTCCCGCCATCTGGGTGCTTGTCCTAAAGAGACGTTGTATGTGGTTACCTGTCAATCAAGAAATGTGAGACAATTCATATAGAGGAACTGCTATGATTAGCTTCTTATTGGTGTCTTGTCTTCCTCCAGGTAACTCCAGACACCTGCACGTTCTGATTGGGACCTCAGTGGTCATCATCCCCTTTGCTATCCTCCTCTTCTTTCTCCTTCATCGCTGGTGTGCCAACAAAAAGAGTAAGTCTCACGAAGCAGAAGCCAGAGAGCTCAGGGCCATGTGGGGAAGCAGGATGGGAGCACTCAGGTGTGTGTTCCTCACAGGCAGGATGGTCCCTGGCCCAAGGCAGGAGCCACAGAGGCAGGACTTTCTAGAGAGAGCACCAGACTCCCTGCCTCTGCCTTCAGCTCACAGACCATTGCCTGATTCTGAACCGTATCCTCACATCCCCTGCAGCCACTCACATCCAGGAGAAGGTTCCATGACAGGCAGAAAGTGGGACACAGAATCAATAGGATGGGAACTCAGAGCTATACATGGGATGGATCCTTGAGCTCAGAGAGATAGAATGTCTGAGTCTGCTGTTGGCAACTGAGGGACCTCAGGCACCTATGGCCTCCCCCTGTATGTTGGTATCTGCTTATGAAATGAGGACCCAGAAGTGCCCTCCGAGCTGTTTTGACGACTTCCGTCTTCTACAGATGCTGTTGTAATGGACCAAGAGCCTGCAGGGAACAGAACAGTGAACAGGGAGGTAGGTGCTCCTCCGCCCAGCCTCGTGGCTAGTCTTATTCCCAAAGAGTCCTGGAAAATGTGAGCACCCTCCCTCACTCAGCATTTCCCTCCCTCCAGGACTCTGATGAACAAGACCCTCAGGAGGTGACATACGCACAGTTGAATCACTGCGTTTTCACACAGAGAAAAATCACTCGCCCTTCTCAGAGGCCCAAGACACCCCCAACAGATACCAGCGTGTAACACGGAACTTCCAAATGCTGAGCGCAGATCCAAAGTTGTCTTCTGTCCACTAGCACCACAGTCAGGCCTTGATGGGATCTTCTAGGGAGACAATAGCCCTGTCTCAAAACCGGGTTGCCAGCTCCCATGTACCAGCAGCTGGACTCTGAAGGCGTGAGTCTGCATCTTAGGGCATCGCTCTTCCTCACACCACGAATCTGAACATGCCTCTCTCTTGCTTACAAATGTCTAAGGTCCCCACTGCCTGCTGGAGAGAAAACACACTTGCTTAGCCCACAATTCTCCATTTCACTTGACCCCTGCCCACCTCTCCAACCTAACTGGCTTACTTCCTAGTCTACTTGAGGCTGCGATCACACTGAGGAACTCACAATTCCAAACATATAAGAGGCTCCCTCTTAACACGGCACTTAGATACGTGCTATTCCACCTTTCCTCAGAGTATCTTTCAGCCTTCTGTCAGCAGTAAAACTTATAAATTTTTTTTATAATTTCAATGTAGTTTTCTCTTCTTCAAGTAAACATGTCTGCCCTCATGGTTTCGTCAATGGGACTCTTTTCTTGCCTAAGGCTTCCGGTGTTATCATTACCACGTCCACATAACCCCATCTGTTCTCCGCTGGGTTCTCACCCCTGGACTCTGAGCTTCTGGAAGCAGGGTGGAGCCTGAATTGTCTCTGAGACTCCAATTTCCATCCAAAGATGCAGCACATAGGAGGTTCCAAGGATGGTGAATCAGATGAACAAGTGATATTCTTACTCTCTGCAGATCTGGAAAGCTGGCAGAGTCATTCCACGATGAAACATTTGTAGAGTCATAGGCCTTGTTAGTCTCATCTCCACAGGGACACGTATCAACACATCATCTTTCATACTACTATAAATAGACAGTCACTCCTCCATATCTCTGGGGTTTACACATGTTTATTGAATCAGCAATAAATCAAAAATATTTTGAGAAAAAAAATCCCCGAAGTTTCAAAAAGCAAAAAACTATGTTGAATCGACACAAATTGAGTGGCGTGTAGGCTGTGTCAGGAATTATAAGTAATCAAGAGATGATTTCATGTATACAGGAGGATGTGCATGGGTTCTATGCAATTGCTATGCTATTTTTTTTTTTTTTGAGACAGTCTCACTCTCTCACCCAGGCTGGAGTGCAGTGGCGTGATCTCAACTCACTGCAACCTCCGCCTTCCAGGTTCAAGCGATTCTCTTCCCTCAGCCTCCCCAGTAGCCTCCCCTAGGATTACAGGCACGTGCCACCCTGCACAGATAAATTTTTTTGTGTGTATATTTTTAGTAGAGATGGGGTTTCAGAATGTTGGACCAGCTGGTCTTGAACTCCTGACCTTGTGATCTACCCAGCTCAGCCTCCCAAAGTGCTGGGATTACAGGCGTGAGCCACGGTGCCCAGCTTCACTATGCCATTTCATGCAAGGGGCTTGAGCATCTGCAGATTTTGGTATCTGAATGGGGATCCTGGAACCAATCACCCAGGTATAGTGAAGGACCATGGTATATAATTTTTATTTGTCAATCTTAAAAATAAAGCATAAAAAATTTACAACAACAAGATAAAAAATAAGAAGTGTTTTTATAGTGTGAGGATAAGTTTAGATTTATTTTTTCCTACGTGTAACCCTATGGTCCTGTGTTATTTGTTGAGAAAATATTCTATTCCACCTTAAACTACATGGCAGCCTTTGTCAACTATAAAGGGACTGTGTATCCACAGATGTATTTTAGACACAGTTTTCTGTCCAGTGGTTCTCTGTATCCCCTCTCATGAGGATGCTGCATTTTATATAAACTTATAGAACCCCTTAAAATTTGGTAACCTGAGTCCTCTGATTTGTTATTATAGGTTATTTAGTTTGCTTTTTTTTTTTTTCTTGAGACAGACTCTTCCTCTGTCACCCAAGCTGGAGTTCAGTGGCTTGAGCTCAGCTCACTGCAACCTCCGTCTCCCAGGTTCAAGCTATTCTGATGCCTCTGGTTTAGTAGTAGAAACTCAAGCAGGAAAATTAGAATGGCTTCTTGTCACAATTACTCTGATAATGTTAATAATACCTGTTAGACATTTTGCACATTACATATGAAGAAGAGTTTGAATCTCAGATAAAAACAAAAATACATCAAAAATCTTTAATGTAAGCACAGAATTCAATCATCTCGTGTATGAGAGGTTGGATCTGAGACGTCTTTTGAGTCTGGTCGTAGTGAAGGACGCAAGGTGTCAATTCTAGTGAGAACAATTTCCAGGAAGCCATGTTCCGCTCTTGAGCGAGCACCCACTGGGCCTCATGCAAGGTAGAAAGAGCCTGCGTACGTCACCCTCCCATGATGTGGTCAACATGTAAACTGCATGGGCAGGGCGCCAAATAACATCCTGTGCGCTGCTGAGCTGAGCTGGGGCGCGGCCGCCTGTCTGCACAGACAGCACCATGTCGCTCATGGTCGTCAGCATGGTGTGTGTTGGTGAGTCCTGGAAGGGCATCGAGGGAGGGAGTGCGGGGATGGAGATCGGGGCCCAGAGTTGGAGATATAGGCCTGGAAGTGGAGTTATGGGCCTAGAGATGGAGTGATGGGCCTAGAAGTGGAGATCTGGGCCTGGAGTGGAGATCTGGGCCTGGAGTGGAGATATGGGCCTGGAGGTTGAGATATGGGCCTGCAGTAGAGATATGGGCTTGTAGTGGAGACATGGGCCTGGAGATGGAGATATGGGCCTGGAGATGGAGATATGGGCCTGCAGTAGAGATAGGGGCCTGGAGTGGAGATATGGGCCTGGAGTGGAGATATGGGCCTGGAGGTGGAGATATGGGCCTGGAGGTGGAGATATGGGCCTGGAGTGGAGATATGGGTCTGGAGGTGGAGATACGGGCCTGCAGTAGAGATATGGGCCTGGAGTGGAGATATGGGCCAGGAGTGGAGTTATGGGCCTAGAGATGGATATCTGGGCCTGGAGTGGAGATATGGGCCTAGGAAGGAGATATGGGCCTGGGTGTGGAGATATGGGACTGGAGAGGTGATATGGGCCTGGAGTGGAGATATGGGCTTAGGGTGGAGATCTGGGCCTGGGGCGGAGATATGGGACTGGATTGGAGATAGGGGCCTAGGGTGGAGATCTGAGCCTGGATTGGCGATATGGGCCTAGGGTGGAAATATCAGCCTGGAGTGGAGATATGGGCTTGGGGTGGGGATATGGGCCTGGAAACTGGGTCTCTGCACAGCCGACAGCCCTGTTCTTGGGTGCAGGTAGGCACTGAGGGTGAGTTTAACTTCAGCCCAGGAAGGGCCTGGCTGCCAAGACTCACAGCCCAGTGGGGGCAGCAAGGGAGGCCTGGTTTGCCTGCAGATGGATGGTCCATCATGATCTTTCTTTCCAGGGTTCTTCTTGCTGCAGGGGGCCTGGCCACATGAGGGTGAGTCCTTCTCCAAACCTTCGGGTGTCATCTCCCCACATAAGAGGATTTTCCTGAAACAGGAGGGAAGTCCTGTCGGGGAGTCTCTCATAAACTAGGAAGAGAGGACCCTGGGGTGCTCAGCCCACATTTCTGACCTCGCCTCCCTGGCCTCTCAACCCCTTGGCAGAGTCAAGTTCTGTGGGGACCAGGGTTAGACTGGGGTGCTCAAAGCTGGGGTGTGTGGTTGGGAAGTGGTAGGAACAGCAGATCCTCTGAGGACAAAGGTGTTACTCACACACTTCAGCGTTTCCATGATGGTAGGGGCTGCAGTGTGGCTGCTGTCATTCTACCAGAAGAGGTGGGAAACCACAGCCATGGCCCTGACATTCCAAATCCTCTGATGGGGGCTCAGTTGTTTATTTTCGTTCAGGCATCCGCTGATATCCATTCACAAAGGACATGCCCTCCACCTCATGTCTACCCTGTGTTGTTTTATGTGAGTAATCTTACAGTATTAAAATCTAGTAGGAGTCTCTTTACTCAGCACTTGCTCAAAGTTCTCAGCTGAGGCTTTTGTTGTAGGGAGACACCATGTCTTTGCGGGATGGGTCCTTCCTTCAGCCCTGGGCACCAAGGTGTGATAGTAGCCATAGAAACGTGGAAAGCGAGGAGAATCTTCTGAGCACAGGGAGGGAAGGGCAGTTCCACATCCTCCTCTCTAAGGCGGCGCCTCCTTCTCCCCAAGGTGGTCAGGACAAGCCCTTGCTGTCTGCCTGGCCCAGCCTTGTGGTGCCTCTAGGACATGTCATTCTTCGGTGTCACTCTTATCTTGGGTTTAACAACTTCAGTCTGTAAAAGGAAGGTGGGGTGCCTGTCCCTGAGCTCTACAACAGAATATTCTGGAACAGCCTTTTCATGGGCCCTGTGACCCCCGCACACACAGGGACATACAGATGTCGGGGTTCACACACACACTCCCCCAGTGGGTGGTCAGCACCCAGCAACCCCCTGGTGATCGTGGTCATAGGTCAGAGGGCTCCTGTCTTGGATTCTCCTTGTCCCACCTCCTGAATCCCAGAGCTTCTGTTGGGCATGTCCTTGAGGGTCCCATCACGCAGGCCCTGACTGTATTTGTGGTAAAGGGGGATTGAATACAGGGAAATGGGTGCTGTGGTGGGAAGAATAATTGTCCCCAGTGATGACTACATTCTAATCCCTGGAGTCTGTGACTATTTATGTTATAGGGGAAGGGACTGAAGGGGAAGATGGAGCTCATGGGGAGACAGCCTGGACTGTCCCACTGGGCTCAGTGTAATCACAAGGGTGCACATGAAAGGAGGAGGAAGAGGGGAGTGGGGATTAGAGCAGTCCAGTGGAAGTCTTCACCAGCTTTGAAGGTGGAGGAAGGCCAAGATCCATGAATGCAGGTGGCCTATAGAGGCTGGAAAAGTCAAGGAACTGATTCTCCAGAGTCTCCAGAGGGAACAAAGCCCTGCAGATGCCTTGATTTTAGCCCAGGAAAAATAGGGTCCAATTTCTGTCTCCAGTACTGGAAGGTGTCAGTGTGGTCTCTCCTGCTGCCATGCTTCTGATAATTTTCTACAGCAGCAACAGGAAACCAACACTGGAACCCAGGTCAAGGACAAGTTAAGAAACAACCCAAGGAAAGCCAGGCATGGTGGCAGGTGCATGTAATCCTAGCGACTCAGGAGGCTGAGGGCAGGAGAATCACTTGAACCCAGGAGACAGAGGTTGCAGTGAGCCTAGACCACACCACTTCACTCCAGCCTGGGTGAAGGAGTGAGACTCTGTCTCCATAATTAATTAATTAATTAAAGAAACCAAACAAGGAGAAGGTTGGCTACCCTGAGATCAGCAAGGGTGGGATGATGATGCCACCACCAGGCTCCATCCACATAGGGAGGGGTTGATACTCCTCCAACCAGCACCAGGAGCCAGCCTATGGAAGCTGGCACCATGGAGAAGGCACAGGCATGGCAAGAGTGGCTCCCAGTCCCCACCAGGAACAGGGTGTGTGGACACTGGTGCCTGCCTTATTCATCAGTTCATACCTTCTGCCAAGGATTGCAATTCATCCAAAAGAGATTGAACCAGGCTGATAAGAGCCTGGATGTGCAGCCTATCCTGGTTCCTCTTTCACCCCCACATAAACAGCAGGAAATACATTAGTGTGAAATAGATACAACACCCCAAGAGATGAGGCTCAGCCCAGTGGGAAGGGAATCAGAGGCTACTAGAGACAGAGGGACAGAGAAGAGGGAGGGAGACAGATGGAAGGACCTGCACCAGGAGTTAAGGGCACAGAAAAGAACATGAAGACACAGAGAGGAAGGAGAGAGACAGACACCAGCAAGGGGAAGCCTCACTCATTCTAGGTGCCATGGATGGGATGATAAAGAGAGACACCTTCTAAACTCACAACCTCTCTTCCTAGGAGTCCACAGAAAACCTTCCCTCCTGGCCCACCCAGGTCCCCTGGTGAAATCAGAAGAGACAGTCATCCTGCAATGTTGGTCAGATGTCAGGTTTCAGCACTTCCTTCTGCACAGAGAAGGGAAGTTTAAGGACACTTTGCACCTCATTGGAGAGCACCATGATGGGGTCTCCAAGGCCAACTTCTCCATCGGTCCCATGATGCAAGACCTTGCAGGGACCTACAGATGCTACGGTTCTGTTACTCACTCCCCCTATCAGTTGTCAGCTCCCAGTGACCCTCTGGACATCGTCATCACAGGTGAGAGTGTCCGGACATTCTCATTGTCATTGGGATGCAGAGTGAATGATCCACGACTTGGAACCCCCAGGTAGTTGTAAGGAAGATGAGCTTGGTATTCTTATGGAGAGAGACTGACTTGCTGAGGTTTGTACCAACAGAGACAGAGAAACAGGAGACACAAGTACAGACCAGGTGTCATAACAGAGGACAGACACAGGGGCCATACAGGGAGTTAGAAAAGACAGAAAGAGTTAAAAGAGACAGACAGACAGACATGTCCCAGAGAGAGGTGTCCCTCCATGCTGACTTTGCTCACAGACCTGGCACAGGTTAGAAGTTTCATTTCTGTTTTACCTCCACAAAGTGTTCTCTACCAGGAGAACCCAAGGACACCCATATTTATGACCTGAGTTGGGCCCTGTGGCCTCAGGCCTTGTGGCACCTACAGGCCATGTTTATTCTGACACCTCTGCCTTCCATGTAATGGAGAGTAATCGTCCCAGGATATCATGGCCCCAGAACACCAACCCCTGTATGCTGTGTGAACTTGTGGTCTCCAGACTGGATTCTGTGGCTCACATTCCAAATAACCCCACATATGAAAGGATCACTGAGAGGCACAGAGAAAAATCAGGAACACCAAAAAGCAAAGACATAAACACACAGAGAATGAGCCAGAGGAAGGAGATTGAGAGACTCACAGACACATAAAGAGAGAGAAAAGAGGGCAGAGGAGTGGTGAGAATGATGGCAGGGAGCAGAGAAAAGCACTAAAATTAGAGTCCTGAGAGAGAGGCACAAGGACATAGAAACATGGAGATGTGGGGATGAATTGCAGAGATTCCAAAGAGAACTAGAGAGACCGAGAGGCAGAGCAAGACAGATGATAGATGGATAGATATAGATAGATGATAAATAGGTAGATGATAGATAATAGGTTAAAGATACATAGATGATGATTGATTGATTCATTAATAGATAATACATAGAGATGATGATGATGAAGACAGATAATACGTACAGATAGAGAGGCAGACAGAAATCATAGAGAGAGAGATGATACATACATATAAATAACAGATGATTGATGGATAGATAGACAAGTGATAGATACATAGATGATATATAGATATAGATGACAGGTAGAGAATTTGTAGATAGGCACCGAATAGATAAATAGATAGATCGACAGATAATAGATAGAAATATGCAGAAAGTTATGAACAGGACACAACGTGAGAAACTTAGAATTTAAAAAAGTAACATCAAGTCAACCAATCCAAGGAGAGTCAGAGAGAATAAAAGAATCCAAAAAGGGAAAACATATCTAGAGGTGGGGAAGCGAGGTCAGAGACCTAGAGAGACAGAGAAGGTGGAAGAAGGAAATAGACATGAAGAGAGATGGGGTGGAGGGTGAGAGAGAGAGAGAGAGAGAGCATTAGGTCATAGAGCAGGGGAGTGAGTTCTCAGCTCAGGTGAAGGGAGCTGTGACAAGGAAGATCCTCCGTAAGGAAAATGCCTCTTCTCCTCCAGGTCTATATGAGAAACCTTCTCTCTCAGCCCAGCCGGGCCCCACGGTTCTGGCAGGAGAGAGCGTGACCTTGTCCTGCAGCTCCCGGAGCTCCTATGACATGTACCATCTATCCAGGGAGGGGGAGGCCCATGAACGTAGGTTCTCTGCAGGGCCCAAGGTCAACGGAACATTCCAGGCCGACTTTCCTCTGGGCCCTGCCACCCACGGAGGAACCTACAGATGCTTCGGCTCTTTCCGTGACTCTCCATACGAGTGGTCAAACTCGAGTGACCCACTGCTTGTTTCTGTCACAGGTGAGGAAACCCCATATCTGTCTCATGTCCTATGATCCTAGAGCCTTAGCTGAGGAGCTTCCTGCTGATGATGGAGAGAAGCATGGACAGATGCAGAGAGAAGACGAAGCTTGGGTGTGAGGGAGGGATCAGGGCACAGGATGGCAGACAGGGCACCTCCAAACCCTCCTACACGGCCTGCATGAAGGCCCGCGGCCAGGGCTCCAGGCACACAGGCAGATGGAGAAAACGGTCAGGAGAGACCCAGAGGAGAGAGACTGGGCTCAGTTTGGGAAGATCAGAGGTTCCCTCAGCCCCTCAACATTACCCATTTCCCAGAAGCCCATCCTGGCCTCTCACCCACACAGGGATGTCATCACCAGCAACCCCTACACCCTTTACTTTTGTTTGAAGAAATATTTATTGAGGATAAATATACCTATATAGCTTACCACCTTTAACATTTTTTTTTTTTTTGAGGCAGAGTCTAGCTCTGTCCCCTATGCTGGAGTGCAGTGGCACAATCTCAGCTCACTGCAACTTCCGCCTCCTGGGTTCAAGTGATTCTCCTGCTTCAGCCACCTGAGTAGCTGGTGCTACAGGCGCGCACCACCACGCCAGGCTACTTTTTGTATTTTTAGTAGAGAGGGGGTTTCACCATGTTGGTCGAGCTGGTCTCCAACTCCTGACCACGTGATCCACCCGCATCTGCCTCCCAAAGTGCTGGGATTACAGGCATGAGCCACCACGCCCAGCCACATTTACCATTTTTAAGTGTAAAGTCTAGTGGTCATAAATACATTTATATATATATATATATATATATATATATATACACACACACACACATATATAAACATATATATATATATATATATATATATATATATATATATATATATTTTTTTTTTTTTTTTTTTACCCTCCACCCTTTTATTCCTGGCCTCTGGAAGCCACCATTCTACTCTCTACCTTCATGAGATCCACCTTTTAGCTCTGTATATGGGTGAGAAATGGGAATCTTTGTAATGACTTCCAGTTCCATCCATGTGGCTGCAAATATCAGGATGTTATTCTTTCTATGGATGAGTAGTCTCCACTGTGCGTATGTACTACATTCTCTCTATCCATTCATCCACTGATGGGCAGGTAGGTTGACTCCACATCTTGGCTACTGTGAACAGTGCTGCACCAATCATACGAGTGCAGATATCACTTCGATATATTGATTTACTTTCCTTTGGATATAAACCCAGTAGTGAAATTGCTGGATACTATGAAAGTTCTCTTTTTAGTTATTCGTTTGTTGTTTTGTTTTTGTTTTTGAGACAGTTTCCCTCTGTGCCCAGGCTGGAGTACAAGTGAAGTCATCTTGGCTCATTGCAACCTCCGCCTCCTGGGTTCAAATGATTTTCCTGCCTCAGCCTCCCTAGTAGCTGGGATTACAGGTGCACGCCACCATGCCTGGCTACTTTTTGTTTTTTTTAGTATAGATGGGGTTTCCCCATGTTGGCTGGGCTGCTCTCAAACTCATGACCTCAACTGAGGTGCCCGCCTCGGTCTCCCAAAGTGCCGGGATTACAGGCATGATCCACCTCACCCAACCTCTTTTTAGTTCTTTAAAGGACTTCCACACTTTTCTCCGTAAAGGCTGTACTAATTTACACTCCTACCAACAGGGTATTAGGGTTCTCCTTTCTCTACCACTTTGGCAGGATTTCCTTTGCCTGTCTTGCAGCTAAAAGCCATTTTATTTTATTTCATTTTATTTTGAGATGGAGTTTCGCTCTTGTCACCCAGGCTGGAGTGCAGTGGTGCGATCTCGGCTCACCACAACCTCCACCTCCCAGGTTCAAGCGATTCTCCTGCCTCAGCCTCCCGAGTAGCTGGAATTACAGGCACACGCCACCACGCCCAACTAAATTTTGTATTTTTAGTAGAGACAGTGTTTCTTCATGTGGGTCAGACTGGTCTCAAACTCCCGACCTTATGAGGTTCACCCACCTCAGGCTCTCAAAGGTCTAGGATGACAGACGTGAGCCACCACGCCCGGCCTAAAATCCATTTTAATGGGGTGAGATGAAAACTCACTTTGATTTTAATTTGTGTTTCTCTGATGATGAGTGAAACTGAGCACTTTTTAGTATGTGGGGAAATTTCATGTGTTTTGCTCCTTTTTCAATTAAATCGTTTGTTTTATTGAGTTGTTTGAGCTTCTTATATTTCTAGTTATTAATCCCATCTCAGATGCATAGTTTGCACATATTTGCTCCCAATCTGTGGGTTGTCTCTTCACTTTGTTGGTTTATTTTTAGCGGTGCAGAAGTTGCTTAGTTTGAGGTAATCCCAATGGTCTATTTTTGCTTCGATTACTTGTGTTTTGAAGGTTTAAAACAAAATGTCTTCCTTCAGACAAATGTCCTGGAGCATTTCCCCAATATTTTCTTCTACGTGTTTCATAGGTTCAGGCCTTAGACTCACATCTTTAATCCATTTTCATTTGAGTTTTGTGTATAGTGACAGGTAGAGGTGCAGTTTCATTCCTCTGCATGTAGATGTCCAGGTTTCCCTGCACTGTTTATTGAAAAGACTGTCCTTTCCTGATTGTGAGTTCTTGGCACCTTTGTCAAAGTCCATTGGATGGGCTGGGCATGGTGGCTGACACCTGCAATTTCAGCACTTTGGGAGCCCAAGGCGGGTGGATCACCTGAGGCCAGGAGTTCAAGATTAGTCTGGCCGACGTGATGAAACATTGTCTCCACTAAAAATATAAAAATTAGCTGAGCATGGTGGTCAGCACCTGTAATACCACTACTCAGGAGTTTGAGGCCAGAGAATTGATTGAACCCAGGAGGCTGTGGTGGCAGTGAACCGAGATTGCACCTCTGCACTCCAGCCTGGGTGACAGAGCGAGACTCCATCTCAAAAGAAAAAAGAAAAAAACATTGGAGGTAAATGCATGGATTATATCTGTGTTCTTCATTCTGCTCCATTGTTCTACGTGCCTTTCTTTATGCCAATGTGATGCTGTTTTGCTTACTACAGCTCTGTAACATATTTTGAGATCAGGTAGTGTGATGCTCCTGTTTTCTCTTTATACCTTGAAGTCTCAAGACAGTGGGCGTCACATACAAAAATTACGGAAAAAAGGATCCCAGGACTCCCAGGGCCCAATATTAGATAACAGAGTGTTGGCCATGAACCAACCTCAAAGATTTCCATTGAGTAGAGGACAGACACCCTCATTTCCTCACCTCTCTCCTGTCTCGTGTTCTAGGAAACCCTTCAAATAGTTGGCCTTCACCCACTGAACCAAGCTCCGAAACCGGTGAGTACAGAACCCTCTTATATCCGCTTTTGGAAACCTGGGGAGGTAGAAACCTTCGATGCAGGCATTGACTCAGCATCTCGCAGCTCTGACATTGTACGCCTGTCTTCTACCATCTCCGAACTCCAGATACTCCAACAGCGAAAGGGATCTGGGCCCAACCTAGGGCTCAGTGAAATCTCTTAATCTCTCATTTTATGGAGCTGAGACCTCCTACAAGCTAGAAGAATGATTGCCAATCTGACATCCTTCTCAGGAAAAATGCAATGTTTGTTCTGCCTGCATTCCTAACTGGAGGATAAATTCCTGGGGGCTTGAGAGAGGGAAGGGAAGGGAACATCTGATGAGGGCGAGGTGTTTTAGAGAAGTTCCACTTGCCAAGGAATGAATTACTGTTGGTCATGAAGCAACCCTGGCTGACTCAGCAGAGCAACAGCCTTGCCGTAACAGAGAACGGAGCTCATGCACGCACACTTCGACTCACTGACTCATTCAGCCACGGCCCCATGCTCAGGCTGTGCAGTGCGGAACCTTTTCCTATTGTTGCCATAACAAATTTCCACAAGATTCGTGGGTGAAAACAAAACGGTTTTTTAATTATCTTACAGTGCTGTAGCTCAAAGTAGGAAGTGCATCTTACTGGGCTAAAATCAAGGTGACAGCAAGGCTGCCTTCCCTCTGAGGATTCCAGGCAAGAATCTGCTTCTCACTTATCCCAGCTTCTAAAGGCTCCCAGTTCCTTGGCTCCTGTTCCCCTTCCTCCTTCCTCAAAGCCCACAAAGACTGGTCACATCTCACATGGCATCACTCAGTGCCTTCTTCCTTACCACACCTCTTTCTCTGAATGCTGCTCTCCCTTCTTCCTTATCTTTTGAAAACTTGGGGATTCTATTGGGTTCACCAAGATGAAAATCCCTCATAATCTCCTGGAAATCATCCAGGATACCCTTGTTTTAAGTTCAGCTGATTAGCAACCGCAATTCCATCTACAATCTTCATTCCTCCTTTCCATGTAAAATAACATATTCACAAGCTATGGAGGCTAGGACAGGGACATTTTGGGGTGGGACAGCATTCTCCTGCCTTCCACAAACGGTGAACAAGATGCATTTGGCTTCTGCCCTTGGGACACTGATATTGCAGATGGTTAAATGGGAGGGCAGAAAATGAATGCACAAGTGGATCTATAAATGAATGATCCATTGGGAAGCATCTGTGCATGAAATCTATTTTTTGTTTGTTCTTTTGTTTATTGAGACAGAGTCGCCCTCTGTCTTCCAGGCTACAGTGCAGTGTCACGATCTTGGCTCACTGCAACCTGCGTCTCCTGGATTCAAGTGATTCTCCTGCCTCCGCCTCTCGAGTAGCTGGGATTACAGGCAACTGCCACCGTGCCCGGCTAATTCTTTTTGTATATTTTTTGTAGAGAGGATGTTTCACCACGTTGGCCAAGCTTGTCTGAAACTCCCAACCTCAAGTGATCCGACCGTCTCAGCATGCCAAAGTAATGGGACTACAGGCGTGAGCCACTGTGCCCAGCCAGAATTCAAAATCAATAATAGATAATGCTGAGTGTATGATTTCAGGTGACAAAGAAGGTCTCACTATTCAGATATTTGTGACATTAATGAAAAACACGGATTGAACCCCTGAAAGATTGGCGGAAGGATTTTGCACACACAGCTGTCAGCCGTGAAGGCACAAAGGTGAAAACAATCTGATGTGGAAGGAAGAGGCTCTGCCTCAAATGCTGGGAATGATGTGGGGAGAATGACAAGACGACTGTAGAGAGACGGAGAGCACACTGGGTACACAGGAAACTAAGGAGCAACAAGGAGTGTGTGTTTGACACTCACAGCCATTGGATTCACCTCGGGGTAACCAGGAATCCCTACATGATTAATATGACTGACATGAAAATAAGGGAGGCTCAGTTGCATAACTGGAATCTAGGAGACCGTGGAAAAGGCAATTGCCACCCCACTGGTGAAATGTGGTGCTGATTTAGACACTAAATGAATGAAGTAGATGGATATAAGATATGTTTGTGAGGTAGAATCATTGACTGGAAAGGCTTACTGGGTTTGATTTTCCTACTTGTTTAATCCTCGCTTAATTAATTTCTTTCTGAGATTTATTCATCCTACACATAAATCAATACCTGGCAAAGGAGTGACAGATATATGAGTGGTGGTGGAAATGAAGAGACTTATTATAGCATAATATACAAGTCTGTGAACAGTGGCTCACGCCTGTAACCTAGCACTGCAGGAGGCCAAGGTGGGTGGATTCCATGAAGTCAGGAGTTCCAGACCAGCCTGGCCAACGTGGTGAAACCCTATCTCTACTAAAAATACAAAAATTAGCCGAGCACGATGGTGCATCCCTGTAATCCCAGCTCCTATTCTGGAGGATGAAGCAGGAGAATGACTTCAACCCAGTAGGTGGAGGTTGCAGTGAGTGGAGATTGCATCACTGCACTCCAGCCTGGGGGACACAAGGAGACTCTATCTCAAAAAATAAAAATAAGAAATACATAAATATAATAAAACACACACGAATGACAAAGGCACCTGAATTCCAATCATCGTTTTTCTATTTCTCTATAATTACTTCTTTGATCCTTTATCTTATCCATTAGGCAATGAGCTTAAAACCTCTTCCCTATTTGGCTTTCTGTGAGAATGAGATCACATAGAAAATGTGAAAGCCCTCAGAATCCTCCAGCACAGATCGTGGAATAGAGAAAGTGCTCTGTTCATCGCAACAAAAAACTTGCCCACTCACCCAAATCCCCCACCTCACCCCTACTTCCAATCACCTGTGGAGATTCAGATAGGCTATGGGGAGGTAAACATTGATACTCCTTGGAGTGAGTCCAGATCTTGGAATCAGAGATCAGTGCCAGCACTAGCTCCTGCTCCTCTTTCCTACTAATTCACAGGAGGACAGGTGGTATTGAAGCAATAGATGGCCGAGGGGGTGGTCCTTCCCCCAGCCTCTCGGGTAGAACAGCAGCCTAACATGTGTCTCCCGAGATCACAAAGAGTAGCACGTTTCACACGGGCTTCAACACTATTTCCTGGCCATTTGACATAAGAGAATTCTACTTAGCTTTTTTTATCTTGATTTCACTTTTGTTTCCTTTTCTTGGAGAATGCAAGTTGTTTGATTCAAGAATGCTGTGGATGTAGAAATCCTAAAGCACATTCGCTGTGTATCAATCCCAGTGCAGTCTTCCCAGAGAAGACTCTAAATACCTCCTGGACTGCACCTGGGCTTATGCCAATTCCTATCACTCACCGTCACTCCAGGGAGACAGAACACACAGAGAATACATTACACAGGCAGGTTCATTACTAACAGATAAGCAGCGAGTGACAACAGAAACCTACATTTCAATGTGAGCCAGTCCCTCAAGGCTCAGAAAAGCTACTCGGGACATATGGAGTCACCCCATTTGCAGTGTAGCTGGGGGAAGCCAGAGAGCAGCCCAGCCTGGGTTTTGTACTGTGGAGCCACAGGAAGCACTCAGCTAAAGCACTGCATGACGTCCTCCTCCAGGAAGAACAGGAAGACAGCCCAGGCTGTTCTGAGACGTTCCTCCTGATCTCAGGACGTTGCTGTCTTAGTCCATTTTTGTTGCTCTAAAGGAACACTTGAGCCTGGGTAACTTCTAGAGAAAAGAGATTGGTTTGCCTCACAGTTCTGCAGGCTGTACTGGAAGCGTGGCACCAGCATCTATTTCTCGTGACGGCCTCAGGCTGCTCCCACTCTGGCAGAAGGGAAGGAGGGTCTGTCTGTGCAGAGACCACAGAGATCACACGGCAAGAGAGGGAGCAAGGGGGAGGGGGAGCGATGGAGCTTCCAAGCTCTTTTGAACAACCAGCTCTCCAGGAACTAATAGAAGGGGAACTTGCTAACCCCGTCTCCTTGGGACAGCATTGGTCTGTTCATGATGGATCCACCTCCATGACCCAAACACCTCTCAAGAGGCCCAACCTCCCACAGTGGGGGTGAAATTTCAATGTGAGGTTTGAAGGGGTCAAACATCTCAACTAAAGTAGTTGTATCCTCAACACGTTCTATGGTTACTATGAGAGCTATAACTGAGAAAGCAGGAGAAAGCTGGGTCTCCCTCCATCTGGGTGCTTGTCCTAAAGGGGTGTTGTATGTGGTTACCTGTCAATCAAGAAATGTGAGACAATTCATAAAGAGGAACTGCTATGATTAGCTTCTTATTGGTGTCTCCTCTTCTTCCAGGTAACCCCAGACACCTGCATGTTCTGATTGGGACCTCAGTGGTCATCATCCTCTTCATCCTCCTCCTCTTCTTTCTCCTTCATCGCTGGTGCTGCAACAAAAAAAGTAAGTCTCACGAAGCAGAGGCCAGAGAGCTCAGGGCCATGTGGGGAAGCAGGATGGGAGCACTCAGGTGTGTGTTCCTCACAGACAGGATGGTCCCTGGCCCAAGGCAGCAGCCACAGAGGGAGGACTTTCTAGAGAGAGCACCAGACTCCCTGTCCCTGCCTTCAGCTCACAGACCATTGCCTGATTCTGAACTGTATCCTCATGTCCCCTGCAGCCACTCACATCCAGGAGAAGGTTCCATGACAGGCAGAAAGTGGGAGACAGAATCAATGGGATGGGAACTCAGAGCTATTCATGGGATGGGTCCTTGAGCTCAGAGAGATAGAATGTCTGAGTCTGCTGTTGGCAACTGAGGGACCTCAGGCTCCTATGGTCTCCCCCTGTATGTTGGTATCTGCTTATGAAATGAGGGCCCAGAAGTGCCCTCTGAGCTGTTTTGTTGACTTCCGTCTTCTACAGATGCTGTTGTAATGGACCAAGAGCCTGCAGGGAACAGAACAGTGAACAGGGAGGTAGGTGCTCCTCGGCCCAGCCTCGTGGCTAGTGTTATTCCCAAAGAGTCCTGGAAAATGTGAGCACCCTCCCTCACTCAGCATTTCCCTCTCTCCAGGACTCTGATGAACAAGACCCTCAGGAGGTGACATATGCACAGTTGAATCACTGCGTTTTCACACAGAGAAAAATCACTCGCCCTTCTCAGAGGCCCAAGACACCCCCAACAGATATCATCGTGTACACGGAACTTCCAAATGCTGAGCCCTGATCCAAAGTTGTCTCCTGCCCATGAGCACCACAGTCAGGCCTTGAGGGGATCTTCTAGGGAGACAACAGCCCTGTCTCAAAACTGGGTTGCCAGCTCCAATGTACCAGCAGCTGGAATCTGAAGGCGTGAGTCTGCATCTTAGGGCATCGCTCTTCCTCACACCACAAATCTGAACGTGCCTCTCCCTTGCTTACAAATGTCTAAGGTCCCCACTGCCTGCTGGAGAGAAAACACACTCCTTTGCTTAGCCCACAATTCTCCATTTCACTTGACCCCTGCCCACCTCTCCAACCTAACTGGCTTACTTCCTAGTCTACTTGAGGCTGCAATCACACTGAGGAACTCACAATTCCAAACATACAAGAGGCTCCCTCTTAACACGGCACTTAGACACGTGCTGTTCCACCTTCCCTCATGCTGTTCCACCTCCCCTCAGACTAGCTTTCAGCCTTCTGTCAGCAGTAAAACTTATATATTTTTTAAAATAATTTCAATGTAGTTTTCCCTCCTTCAAATAAACATGTCTGCCCTCATGGTTTAGGTAATGGGACTCTTTTCTTGCCTAAGGCTTCCGGTGTTATCAGTACCATGTCCATATAATCCCATCTGTTCTCCACCGGGTTCTCACCTCTGGACTCTGAGCTTCTGGAAGCAGTGTGGAGCCTCATTTGTCTCTGGGACTCCAATTTCCATCCAAAGATGCAGCACATAGGAGGTTCCAAGGATCGGGAATCACATGAACAAGTGACATTGTTACTCTCTGCAGACCTGGAAAGCTGGCAGAGTCATTCCACGATGAAACATTTGTAGAGTCATAGGCCTTGTTAGTCTCATCTCCATGGGGACACATATCAACACATCATCTTTCATACTATAAATATACGGTCACTCCTCCGTATCTGTGGGGTTTACAGGTCTTTATTGAACAAAGTATAAATCAAAAATATTCAGAGAAAATATCCACAGAGTTCCAAAACTCATAACTATGTTGAATGGACACAAATGAAGCTGTGTGTAGGCTGTATCAGGAATTATAAGTAATCAAGAGATGATTTCATGTATACAGGAGGATGTGCATATGTTATTTGCAAGCGCTGTGCCATTTCATATAAGAGGCTTGAGCATCTACAGATTTTGGTATCTGAGTGGAGATCTCGAAACCAATCACCCACGAATAGTGAAGGATGACCGTATATGACTTTTATTTCTCAAATTTAAATATAAATCAAAAAATGTACAACTAGATAAAAACTAAGAAGTGTTTTTATAGTGTGAGTTAGATTTATTTTTTACTAGGTGTAACCCATTGGTTTAATATTATTTATTGAGAAGACATTCTATGCCACCTTAAACCACACGGCAGCCTTTGTCAACTCTAAAGGGACTGTGTGTACATGGATGTATTTTAGACAGTTTCTGCTAAGGGGCTGTCTGTGTCCACACACTTGATGATGCTACACTTTATGTAGCCTTATAGAACCCTTTAAATTTAGTAGCCAGAGCCCTCTAATTTGTTATTATAGGCTATTTGCTTTTTTTTTTCTTGAGGCGGAGTCTTGCTCTGTCGCCCAGGCTGGACTGCAGTGACACAATCTCAGCTCACTGCAACCTCCGCCTCCCAGGTTCAAGCGATTCTCGTGCCTCAGCCTCTTGAGTAGCTGGCGTTACAGGTGCCTGCCACCAGGCATGGCTAATTTTTGGATTTTTAGCAGAGACACGGTTTCACTATGTTGGCCAGGCTGCTCTCAATCCCCTCATCTCAGTTGATCCGCCCACCTCGGCTTCCCGACGTGCTGGGGAAACTTGATTTTCTATAGCATTATGTTACTGGATATTTCTGTAAAATTTAAAATGAGGGAGGCAGAGAGACAGAGAGAGATCAAACTCCAGAGTTGGGACTCTGGAATCTTGGGTCATGAGACAAATTTTAGATTAAACTACAAAACTCCAGAATTTACAGGTGTGGTTTTTGCTGATAAAGTACAATTCTAAGATTGTAAATAATTGCATAATCCTTCCCTGGGAATTTAAATCATTTTAACTGGTTCTGCTGTAATACTAGAAATACAAGCATGAAAAATTCTAATGGTTTATTAGTCACAATGACTCTGAAAACCTTAATAATACCTATTAAATATTTTGCATATTACACATGAAGAAGAGTTTGAATCTCAGATAAAAACAATAAAAATACATGAAAAGTCTTTCACGTTAGCACAGATTTTAGGCATCTCGTGTTCAGGAGGTTGGATCTGAGACGTGTTTTGAGTTGGTCATAGTGAAGGACGCTAGGTGTAAATTCTAGTGAGAACAATTTCCAGGAAGCCGTGTTCCGCTCTTGAGCGAGCACCCACTGGGCCTCATGCAAGGTAGAATGAGCCTGCGTACGTCACCCTCCCATGATGTGGTCAACATGTAAACTGCATGGGCAGGGCGCCAAATAACATCCTGTGCGCTGCTGAGCTGAGCTGGGGCACGGCCGCCTGTCTGCACCGGCAGCACCATGTCGCTCACGGTCGTCAGCATGGCGTGTGTTGGTGAGTCCTGGAAGGGAATAGAGGAAGGGAGTGTGGGGTTGGAGATCTGGGCCCAGAGGTGGAGATATAGGCCTGGAGGTGGAGTTGTGGGCCTGGAGTGGAGATCTGGGCCTGGAGTGGATATATGGGCCTAGAGATGGAGTGATGGGCCTAGAAGTGGAGATCTGGGCCTGGAGTGCCGATAGGAACCTGGAGGGGAGATAGGAGCCTGGAGTGGAGATATGGGCCTGGAGGTGGAGTTATAGGCCTATAGTAGAGATATGGGCCTGGAGTGGAGATTTGGGCCAGGAGTGGAGATATGGGCCTAGAGGTGGATATCTGGGCCTAGAGTGGAAATATGGGCCTAGGATGGAGATATGGGCCTGGTTGTGGAGATATGGGACTGGAGAGGAGATATGGGCCTAGAGTGGAGATATGGGCTTGGGGTGGAGATCTGGGCCTGGGGTGGAGATATGGGCCTGGAGGTGGAGTTACGGGCCTTCAGTAGAGATATGGGCCTGGGGTGGAGATATGGGCTTGGGGTGGAGATCTGGGCCTGGAGTGGAGATATGGGCCTGGAGGTGGAGTTACTGGCCTTCAGTAGAGATATGGGCCTGGTGTGGAGATATGGGCCTGGATTGGAGATATGGGCCTAGGTTGGAGATCTGAGCCTGGAGTGGAGATATGGGCCTGGATTGGAGATATGGGCTTACAGTGGAGATCTTGGCCTGGATTGGCGATATGGGCCTGGATTGGCGATATGGGCCTATGATGGAAATATCGGCCTGGAGTGGAGATATGGGCCTGGAGTGGAGATACAGGCCTAGGGTGGAAATATTGGCCTGGAGTGGAGATATGGGCTTGTGGTGGGGATATGGGCTTGTGGTGGGGATCTGGGCTTGGAGGCTGGGTCTCTGCACAGCCGACAGCCCTGTTCTTGGGTGCAGGTAGGCACTGAGGGTGAGTTTAACTTCAGTCCAGGAAGGGCCTGCCTACCAAGACTCACAGCCCAGTGAGGGCAGCAAGGGAGGGCTGGTTTGCCTGCAGATGGATCGTCCATCATGATCTTTCTTTCCAGGGTTCTTCTTGCTGCAGGGGGCCTGGCCACATGAGGGTGAGTCCTTCTCCAAACCTTAGGGTGTCATCTCCCCACATAAGAGGATTTTCCTGAAACAGGAGGGAAGTCCTGTCAGGGAGCCTCTCATAAACTAGGAAGAGGGGACCCTGGGGTGCTCGGCCCACAGTTCCGACCTCGCCTCCCTGGCCTTTCATTCCCTTGGCAGAGTCAAGTTCTGTGGGGACCAGGGTTAGACTGGGGTGCTCAAAGCTGGGGTGCGTGGTGGGGAAGTGGTAGGAACAGCAGATCCTCTGAGGACAAAGGTGTTACTCACACTTCAGCGTTTCCATGACGGTAGGGGCTGCAGTGTGGCTGCTGTCACTCCACCAGAAGAGGTGGGAAACCACAGCCATGGCCCTGACATTCCAAATCCTCTGATGGGGGCTCAGTTGCTTATTTTCATTCAGGCATCTGCTGATATTCCATTCTCAAAGACATGCCCTCCACCCCATGTCTACCCTGTGTTGTTTTATGTGAGTAATCTTACAGTATTAAAATCTAGTAGGAGTCTCTTACTCAGCACTTGCTCAAAGTTCTCAGCTGACACTTTTGTTGTAGGGAGACACCTTGTGTTTGCGGGATGGGTCCTTCCTTTAGCCCTGGGCACCAAGGTGTGATAGCAGCCATAGAAACTTGGAAAGCGAGGAGAATCTTCAGAGCACAGGGAGGGAGGGGTGGCTCCACATCCTCCTCTCTAAGGCGGTGCCTCCTTCTCCCCAAGGTGGTCAGGACAAGCCCTTGCTGTCTGCCTGGCCCAGCTCTGTGGTGCCTCCAGGACATGTGATTCTTCGGTGTCATTCTTATCTTGGGTTTAACAACTTCAGTCTGTAAAAGGAAGATGGGGTGCCTGGCACTGAGCTCTACAACAGAATATTCTGGAAGAGCCTTTTCATGGGCCCTGTGACCCCAGCACACACAGGGACGTACAGATGTCGGGGTTCACACCCACACTACCCCAGTGGGTGGTCGGCACCCAGCAACACCCTGGTGATCATGGCCACAGGTCAGAGGGCTCCTGTCTTGGATTCTCCTTTCCCACCTCCTGAATCCCAGAGCTTCTGGTGGGCGTGTCCTTGAGGGTCCCATCACCCAGGCCCTGACTATATTTGGGGTAAAGGGGGATTGAATACAGGGAAATGGGTGCTGTGGTGGGAAGAATAATTGTCCCCAGTGATGACTACATTCTAATCCCTGGAGTCTGTGACTATTTATGTTATAGGGGAAGGAACTGAAGGGGAAGATGGAGCTCAGGTTGTTGATGAGTTGACCTTGAGATGGGGAGACAGCCTGGACTGTCCCGCTGGGCTCAGTGTAATCACAAGGGTCCACATGAAAGGAGGAGGAAGAGGGGAGTGGGGATTAGAGCAGCGCAATGGGAGACTCCACCAGCTTTGAAGGTGGAGGAAGGCCAGGAGCCATGAATGCAGGTGGCCTGTAGAGGTTGGAAAAGTCAAGGAAATGATTCTCCAGAGTCTCCAGAGGGAACGAAGCCCTGCAGATGCCTTGATTTTAGCCCAGGAAAAACAGGGTCCTATTTCTGTCTCCAGTAGTGAAATGGGTCAGTGTGCTCTCTCCTGCTGCCATGCTTCTGATAATTTTCTACAGCAGCAACAGGAAACCAACACTGGAACCCAGGTCAAGGACAAGGTAAGAAACAACACAAGGATAGCCGGGTGTGGTGGCAGGCGCATGTAATCCTAGCGACTTGGGAGGCTGAGGGCAGGAGAATCACTTGAACCCAGGAGACAGAGGTTGCAGTGACCCTAGACCACACCACTTCACTCCAGCTGGGGTGAAGGAGTGAGACTCTGTCTCCATAATTAATTAATTAATTAAAGGAACCAAACAAGGGGAAGGTTGGCTACACCGAGATGAGCAAGTGTGGGATGATGATGCCACCACCAGGCTCCATCCACATAGGGAGGGGTTGATACTCCTCAAACCAGCACCAGGAGCCAGCCTATGGAAGCTGGCACCATGGAGAAGGCACAGGCATGGCAAGAGTGGCTCCCAGTCCCGACCAGGAACAGGGTGTGTGGACACTGGTGCCTGCCTTATTCATCAGTTCATACCTACTGCCAAGGATTCCAATTCATCCAAAAGAGATTGAACCAGGCTGATAAGAGGCTGGATGTGCAGCCTATCCTGGTTCCTCTTTCACCCCCACATAAACAGCAGGAAAGACATTAGTGTGAAATAGATACAACACCCCAAGAGATGAGGCTAAGCCCAGTGGGAAGGGAATCAGAGGCGACTAGAGACAGAGGGACAGAGAAGAGGGAGGGAGACAGATGGAAGGACCTGCACCAGGAGTTATGGGCACAGAAAAGAACATGAAGACACAGAGAGGAAGGAGAGAGACAGACACCAGCAAGGGGAAGCCTCACTCATTCTAGGTGCCATGGATGGGATGATAAAGAGAGACACCTTCTAAACTCACAACCTCTCTTCCTAGGAGTCCACAGAAAACCTTCCCTCCTGGCCCACCCAGGTCCCCTGGTGAAATCAGAAGAGACAGTCATCCTGCAATGTTGGTCAGATGTCAGGTTTCAGCACTTCCTTCTGCACAGAGAAGGGAAGTTTAACGACACTTTGCACCTCACTGGAGAGCACCATGATGGGGTTTCCAAGGCCAACTTCTCCATCGGTCCCATGATGGAAGACCTGGCAGGGACCTACAGATGCTACGGTTCTGTTACTCACTCCCCCATCAGTTGTCAGCTCCCAGTGACCCTCTGGACATCGTCATCACAGGTGAGAGTGTCCGGACATTCTTCTCATTGTCATTGGGATGCAGAGTGAATGATCCACGACTTGGAACCCCCAGGTAGTTGTAAGGAAGATGAGCTTGGTATTCTTATGGAGAGAGACTGACTTGGTGAGGTCTGTACCAACAGAGACAGAGAAACAGGAGACACAAGTACAGACCAGGTGTCATAACAGAGGACAGACACAGGGGCCATACCGGGAGTTAGAAAAGACAGAAGGAGTTAAAGGAGACAGACAGACAGACATGTCCCAGAGAGAGGTGTCCCTCCATGCTGACTTTGCTCAGAGACCTGGCACAGGTTAGAAGTTTCATTTCTGTTTTACCTCCACAAAGTGTTCTCTACCAGGAGAACCCAAGGACACCCATATTTCTGACCTGAGTTGGGCCCTGTGGCCTCAGGCCTTGTGGCACCTACAGATGCCGTGTTTATTCTGACACCTCTGCCTTCCATGTAATGGAGAGTAACCGTCCCAGGATATCATGGCCCCAGAACACCAACTCCTGTATGCTGTGTGAACTTGTGGTCTCCAGACTGGATTCTGAGGCTCACATTCCAAATAACCCCACATATGAAAGGATCACTGAGAGGCACAGAGAGAAATCAGGGACACCAAAAAGCAAAGACATAAACACACAGAGAATGAGCCAGAGGAAGGAGATTGAGAGACTCACAGACACATAAAGAGAGAGAAAAGAGGGCAGAGGAGTGGTGAGAATGATGGAAGGGAGCAGAGAAAAGCACTAAAATTAGACTCCTGAGGGAGAGGCACAAGGACATAGAAAGATGGAGATGTGGGGGATGAATTGCAGAGATTCCAAAGAGAACTAGAGAGACCGAGAGGCAGAGCAAGACAGATGATAGATGGATAGATATAGATAGATGATAAATAGGTAGATGATAGATAATAGGTTAAAGATACATAGATGATGATTGATTGATTCATTAATAGATGAGACATAGAGATGATGATGATGAAGACAGATAGATAATACATAGAGATAGAGAGGCAGACAGAAGTCATAGAGAGAGAGATGATACATAGATATAGATAACAGATGATTGATGGATAGATAGACAAGTGATAGATACATAGATGATATATAGATATAGATGACAGGTAGAGAATTTGTAGATAGGCACCGAATAGATAAATAGATAGATCGATAGATAATAGATAGAAATATGCAGAAAGTTATGAACAGGACACAAAGTGAGAAACTTAGAATTTAAAAAAGTAACATCAAGTCAACCAATCCAAGGAGAGTCAGAGAGAATAAAACAATCCAAAAAGGGAAAACATATCTAGAGGTGTGGAAGCGAGGTCAGAGACCTAGAGAGACAGAGAAGGTGGAAGGAGGAAATAGACATGAAGAGAGATGGGGTGGAGGGTGAGAGAGAGAGAGAGAGAGAGCATTAGGTCATAGAGCAGGGGAGTGAGTTCTCAGCTCAGGTGAAGGGAGCTGTGACAAGGAAGATCCTCCGTAAGGAAAATGCCTCTTCTCCTTCCAGGTCTATATGAGAAACCTTCTCTCTCAGCCCAGCCGGGCCCCACGGTTCTGGCAGGAGAGAGCGTGACCTTGTCCTGCAGCTCCCGGAGCTCCTATGACATGTACCATCTATCCAGGGAGGGGGAGGCCCATGAACGTAGGTTCTCTGCAGGGCCCAAGGTCAACGGAACATTCCAGGCTGACTTTCCTCTGGGCCCTGCCACCCACGGAGGAACCTACAGATGCTTCGGCTCTTTCCGTGACTCTCCCTACGAGTGGTCAAACTCGAGTGACCCACTGCTTGTTTCTGTCACAGGTGAGGAAAGCCCATGGCTGTCCCATGTCCTATGATCCTAGAGCCTTAGCTGAGGAGCTTCCTGCTGAGGATGGAGAGAAGGATGAACAGATGCAGAGAGAAGACGAAGCTTGGGTGTGAGGGAGGGATCAGGGCACAGGATGGCAGACAGGGCACCTCCAAACCCTCCTACATGGCCTGCATGAAGGCCTGCGGCCAGGACTCCAGGCACCCAGGCAGATGGAGAAAGCGGTCAGGAGAGACCCAGAGGAGGGAGACTGGGCTCAGTTTGGGAAGATCAGAGGTTCCCTCAGCCCCTCAACATTACCCATTTCCCAGAAGCCCATCCTGGCCTCCCACCCACACAGGGATGTCATCACCTGCAACCCCTACACCCTTTACTTTTGTTTGAGAAATATTTATTGAGGATAAATATACCTATATAGCTTACCACCTTTAACATTTTTTTTTTGAGGCGGAGTCTAGCTCTGTCCCCTATGCTGGAGTGCATTGGCACAATCTCAGCTCACTGCAACTTCCGCCTCCTGGGTTCAAGCGATTCTCTTGCCTCAGCCACCTGAGTAGCTGGTGCTACAGGCGCGCACCACCATGCCAGGCTACTTTTTGTATTTTTAGTAGAGAGGGGGTTTCACCATGTTGGTCAAGCTGGTCTCGAACTCCTGACCACGTGATCCACCCGCATCAGCCTCCCAAAGTGCTGGGATTACAGGCATGAGCCACCACGCCCAGCCACATTTACCATTTTTAAGTGTAAAGTCTAGTGGTCATAAATACATTAATATATATATATATACACATATTTTTTTTTACCCTCCACCCTTTTCTTCCTGGCCTCTGGTAGCCACCATTCTACTCTCTACCTTCATGAGATCCACCTTTTAGCTCCTGTATATGGGTAAGAAATGGGAATCTTTGTAATGACCTCCAGTTCCATCCATGTGGCTGCAAATATCAGGATGTTTTTCTTTCTATGGAAGAGTAGTCTCCACTATGCAAATGTACCACATTCTCTCTATCCATTCACCCACTGATGGGCAGGTAGGTTGACTCCTCATCTTGGCTACTGTGAAGAGTGCTGCACCAATCATACGAGTGCAGATATCACTTCGATATATTGATTTACTTTCCTTTGGATATAAACCCAGTAGTGAAATTGCTGGATACTATGAAAGTTCTCTTTTTAGTTTTTCGTTTGTTGTTTTGTTTTTGTTTTTGAGACAGTTTCCCTCTGTGCCCAGGCTGGAGTACAAGTGATGTCATCTTGGCTCATTGCAACCTCTGCCTCCTGGGTTCAAATGATTTTCCTGCCTCAGCCTCCCTAGTATCAGGGATTATAGGCGCACGCCACCATGCCTGGCTACTTTTTGTTTTTTTTAGTATAGATGCGGTTTCCCCATGTTGGCTGGGCTGCTCTCAAACTCATGACCTCAACTGAGGTGCCCGCCTCGGTCTCCCAAAGTGCCGGGATTACAGGCATGATCCACCTCACCCAACCTCTTTTTAGTTCTTTAAAGGACTTCCACACTTTTCTCCGTAATGGCTGTACTAATTTACACTCCTACCAACAGGATACCAGGATTCTCCTTTCTCTAACACCTTGCCAGCATTTCTTTTGCCTGTCTTGCAGCTAAAAGCCATTTTATTTTATTTCATTTTATTTTGAGATGGAGTTTCGCTCTTGTCACCCAGGCTGAGTGCAGTGGTGCGATCTCGGCTCACCACAACCTCCACCTCCCAGGTTCAAGCGATTCTCCTGCCTCAGCCTCCCGAGTAGCTGGAATTACAGGCACACGCCACCACGCCCGACTAATTTTTGTATTTTTAGTAGAGACAGTGTTTCTCCATGTGGGTCAGACTGGTCTCAAACTCCCGACCTTATGAGATTCACCCACCTCAGGCTCTCAAAGTTCTAGGATGACAGACGTGAGCCACCACGCCCGGCCTAAAAGCCATTTTAATGGGGTGAGATGAAAACTCACTTTGATTTTAATTTGTGTTTCTCTGATGATGAGTGATACTGAGCACTTTTTCGTATGTGGGGAAATTTCATGTCTTTTGCTCCTGTTTCAATTAAATCATTTGTTTTATTGAGTTGTTTGAGCTTCTTATATTTCTAGTTATTAATCCCATCTCAGATGCATAGTTTGCACATATTTGCTCCCAATCTGTGGGTTGTCTCTTCACTTTGTTGGTTTATTTTTAGCGGTGCAGAAGTTGCTTAGTTTGAGGTAATCCCAATGGTCTATTTTTGCTTCGATTACTTGTGTTTTGAAGGTTTAAAACAAAATGTCTTCCTTCAGACAAACGTCCTGGAGCATTTCCCCAATATTTTCTTCTACGTGTTTCATAGGTTCAGGCCTTAGACTCACATCTTTAATCCATTTTCATTTGATTTTTGTGTATAGTGACAGGCAGAGGTGCAGTTTCATTCCTCTGCATGTCGATGTCCAGGTTTCCCTGCACTGTTTATTGAAAAGACTGTCCTTTCCTGATTGTGAGTTCTTGGCACCTTTGTCAAAGTCCATTGGATGGGCTGGGCATGGTGGCTGACACCTGCAATTTCAGCACTTTGGGAGCCCGAGGTGGGTGGATCACCTGAGGCCAAGAGTTCAAGATTAGTCTGGCCAACGTGATGAAACATCGTCTCCACTAAAAATATAAAAATTAGCTGAGCATGGTGGTCAGCACCTGTAATACCACTACTCAGGAGTTTGAGGCAAGAGAAGTGATTGAACCCAGGAGGCTGTGGTGGCAGTGAACCGAGATTGCACCTCTGCACTCCAGCCTGGGTGACAGAGCAAGACTCCATCTCAAAAGAAAAACAAAAAATACATTGGAGGTAAATGCATGGATTATATCTGTGTTATTCATTCTGCTCCGTTGTTCTATGTGCCTTTCTTCATGCCAACGTCATGCTGTCTTGCTTACTACAGCTCTGTAACATATTTTGAGATCAGGTAGTGTGATGCTCCTGTTTTCTCTTTATACCTTGAAGTCTCAAGACAGTAGCCGTCACATACAAAAATTACGGAAAAAAGGATCCCAGGACTCCCAGGGCCCAATATTAGATAACAGAGTGTTGGCCATGAACCAACCTCAAAGATTTCCACTGAGTAGAGGACAGACACCCTCATTTCCTCACCTCTCTCCTGTCTCATGTTCTAGGAAACCCTTCAAATAGTTGGCCTTCACCCACTGAACCAAGCTCCAAAACCGGTGAGTACAGAACCCTCTTATATCCGCTTTTGGAAACCTGGGGAGGTGGAAACCTTGGATTCAGGCGTTGACTCAGCATCTCACAGCTCTGACATTGTACGCCTGTCTTCTACCATCTCCAAACTCCAGATACTCCAACAGCGAAAGGGATCTGGACCCAAAACAGGGCTCTGTGAAATCTCTTAATCTCTCATTTTATGGAGCTGAGATCTCCTACAAGCTAGAAAAATGATTGGCAATCTGACATCCTTCTCAGGAAAAATGCAATGTTTGTTCTGCCTGCATTCCTAACTGGAGGATAAATTCCTGGGGGCTTGAGAGAGGGAAGGGTAGGGAACATTTGATGAGGGCGAGGTGTTTTAGAGAAGTTCCACTTGCCCAGGAATGAATTACTGTTGGTCATGAAGCAACCCTGGCTGACTCAGCAGAGCAAGAGCTTTGCCTTAACAGAGAACGGAGCTCATGCACGCACACTTCGACTCACTGACTCATTCAGCCACGGCCCCATGCTCAGGCCGTGGAAAAGGCAATTCCCAGCACTGCAGGAGGCCAAGGCGGGTGGATCACTTGAAGTCAGGAGTTCCAGACCAGCCTGGCCAAAATGGTGAAACCCTGTCTCTATGAAAAATACAAAAATTAGCCGAGCATGGTGGTGCATCCCTGTAATCCCAGCTCCTACTCTTGAGGATGAAGCAGGAGAACGACTTCAACCCAGGAGGTGGAGGTTGCAGTGAGTGGAGATTGCATCACTGCACTCCAGCCTGGGTGACACAAGGAGACTCCGTCTCAAAAAATAAAAATAAGAAATGCATAAATATAATAAAACACACACGAATGACAAAGGCACCTGAATTCCAATCATCATTTTTGTATTTCTCTATAATTACTTCTTTGATCCTTTGTCTTATCCATTAGGCAATGAGCCTAAAACCTCTTCCGTATTTGGCTTTCTGTGAGCATGAGACCATATAGAAAATGTGAAAGCCCGCTGAATCCTCCAGCACAGATCGTGGAATAGAGAAAGTGCTCTGTTCATCACAAAAAAAACTTGCCCTCTCACTCAAATCCCCCACTTCACCCCTACTTCCAATCACCTGTGGAGATTCAGATAGACCATGGGGAGGTAAACATTAATACTCCTTGGAGTGAGTCCAGATCTTGGAATGAGAGATCAGCACCAGCACTAGCTCCTGCTCCCCTTTCCTACTAATTCACAGGAGGACAGGTGGTATTGAAGCAATAGATGGTGGAGGGGGTGGTCCTTCCCCCAGCCTCTCAGGTAGAACAGCAGCCTAACATGTGTCTCCCGAGATCACAAAGAGTAGGACGTTTCACAGGGGCTTCAACACGATTTCCTGGCTGTTGGACATAAGATAACTCTATTTCGCTTTTTTATCTTGATTTCACTTTTGTTTCCTTTCCTTGGAGAACGCAAGTTGTTTGACTCAAGAATGCTGTGGATGTAGAAATCCTAAAGCACATTCGCTGTGTGTCAATCCCAGTGCAGTCTTCCCAGAAAAGACCCTAAACACCTCCTAGACTGCACCTGGGCCTACGCCAATTCCTATCACTCACCGTCACTCCAGGGAGACAGAACACACAGAGAATACGTTACATAGGCAGGTTCATTACTAACAGATAAGCAGCGAGTGAAAACAGAAGCCTACATTTCAATGTGAGCCAGTCCCTCAAGGCTCAGAAAAGCTGCTCGGGACATATGGAGTCACCCCATTTGCAGTGTAGCTGGGGGAAGCCAGAAAGCAGCCCAGCCTGGGTTTTGTACCCTGGAGCCACAGGAAGCACTCAGCTAAAGCACTGCATGACGTCCTCCTCCAGGAAGAACAGGAAGACAGCCCAGGCTGCTCTGGGACGTTCCTCCTGATCTCAGGACGTTGCTGTCTTAGTCCATTTTTGTTGCTCTAAAGGAACACTTGAGCCTGGGCAACTTCTAAAGAAAAGAGATTGGTTTGCCTCACCGTTCTGCAGGCTGTACTGGAAGCATGGCACCAGCATCTATTTCTCGTGATGGCCTCAGGCTGCTCCCACTCTGGCAGAAGGGAAGGAGGGTCTGTCTGTGCAGAGACCACAGAGATCACACGGCAAGAGAGGGAGCAAGGGGGAGGGGGAGCGATGGAGCTTCCAAGTTCTTTTGAACAACCAGCTCTCCAGGAACTAATAGAGGGGGAACTAGCTAACCCCGTCTCCTTGGGACAGCATTGATCTGTTCATGATGGATCCACCTCCATGACCCAAACACCTCTCAAGAGGCCCAACCTCCCACAATGGGGGTGAAATTTCAATGTGAGGTTTGAAGGGGTCAAACATCTCAACTAAAGTAGTTGTGTCCTCAGCACATTCTATGGTTACTTTGAGAGCTATAACTGAGAAAGCAGGAGAAAGCTGGGTCTCCCGCCATCTGGGTGCTTGTCCTAAAGAGGTGTTTTACGTGGTTACCTGTCAATCAAGAAATGCGAGACAATTCATAAAGAGGAACTGCTATGATTAGCTTCTTATTGGTGTCTCATCTTCTTCCAGGTAACCCAAGACACCTGCACGTTCTGATTGGGACCTCAGTGGTCATCATCCTCTTCATCCTCCTCCTCTTCTTTCTCCTTCATCGCTGGTGCTCCAACAAGAAAAGTAAGTCTCACGAAGGAGAGGCCAGAGAGCTCAGGGCCATGTGGGGAAGCAGGATGGGAGCACTCAGGTGTGTGTTCCTCACAGGTAGGATGGTCCCTGGCCCAAGGCAGCAGCCACAGAGGCAGGACTTTCTAGAGAGGGCACCAGACTCCCTGTCCCTGCTTTCAGCTCACAGACCGTTGCCTGATTCTGAACTGTATCCTCATGTCCCCTGCAGCCACTCACATCCAGGAGAAGGTTCCATGACAGGCAGAAAGTGGGAGACAGAATCAATGGGATGGGAACTCAGAGCTATTCATGGGATGGGTCCTTGAGCTCAGAGAGATAGAATGTCTGAGTCTGCTGTTGGCAACTGAGGGACCTCAGGCACCTATGGCCTCCCCCTGTTTGTTGGTATCTGCTTATGAAATGAGGACCCAGAAGTGCCCTCCGAGCTCTTTTGTTGACTTCCGTCTCCTACACATGCTGCTGTAATGGACCAAGAGCCTGCAGGGAACAGAACAGCGAATAGCGAGGTAGGTGCTCCTCGGCCCAGCCTCGTGGCTAGTGTTATTCCCAAACAGTCCTGGAAAACGTGAGCACCCTCCCTCACTCAGGATTTCCCTCTCTCCAGGACTCTGATGAACAAGACCCTCAGGAGGTGACATACGTACAGTTGGATCACTGCGTTTTCACACAGAGAAAAATCACTCGCCCTTCTCAGAGGCCCAAGACACCCCCAACAGATACCAGAGTGTACACGGAACTTCCAAATGCTGAGTCCAGATCCAAAGTTGTCTCCTGCCCATGAGCACCACAGTCAGGCCTTGAGGGGATCTTCTAGGGAGACAACAGCCCTGTCTCAAAACCGGGTTGCCAGCTCCCATGTACCAGCAGCTGGAATCTGAAGGCGTGAGTCTGCATCTTAGGGCATCGCTCTTCCTCACACCACAAATCTGAATGTGCCTCTCTCTTGCTTACAAATGTCTAAGGTCCCCACTGCCTGCTGGAGAGAAAACACACTCCTTTGCTTAGCCCACAATTCTCCATTTCACTTGACCCCTGCCCACCTCTCCAACCTTACTGGCTTACTTCCTAGTCTACTTGAGGCTGCAATCACACTGAGGAACTCACAGTTCCAAACATACAAGAGGCTCCCTCTTAACACGGCACTTAGACACGTCCTGTTCCACCTTCCCTCATGCTGTTCCACCTCCCCTCAGAGTATCTTTCAGCCTTCTGTCAGCAGTAAAACTTATATATTTTTTAAAATAATTTCAATGTAGTTTTCCCTCCTTCAAATAAACATGTCTGCCCTCATGGTTTCGGTAATGGGACTCTTTTCTTGCCTAAGACTTCCATTATCATTACCATGTCCACATAACCCCATCTGTTCTCCACTGGGTTCTCACCCCCGGACTCTGAGTTTCTGGAAGCAGGGTGGAGCCTCATTTGTCTCTGGGACTCCTATTTCCATCCAAAGATGTAGCACATAGGAGGTTCCAAGGATCGTGAATCACATGAACAAGTGATATTCTTACTCTCTGCAGACCTGGAAATCTGGCAGAGTCATTCCAAGATGAAACATTTGTAGAATCATAGGCCTTGTTAGTCTCATCTACACAGGGACACATATCAACACATCATCTTTCACACTATAAATATACAGTCACTCCTCCATATCTGTGGGGTTTACAGTTCTTTATTGAACCGAGTATAAATCAAAAATATTCAGAGAAAGTATCCACAGAGTTACAAAAAGCAGAACTGTGTTGAATGGACACAAATGAAGCTGTGTGTAGGCTGCATCAGGAATTATAAGTAATCTAGAGATGATTTCATGTATACAGGAGGATGTGCATAGGTTATTTGCAAACTCTGTGCCATTTCATATAAGAGGCTTGAGCATCTACAGATTTTGGTATCTGAGTGGAGATCTCGAAACCAATCACCCACGAATAGTGAAGGATGACCGTATATGACTTTTATTTCTCAAATTTAAATATAAATCATAAAAAATGTACAACTAGATAAAAACTAAGAAGTGTTTTTATAGTGTGAGTTAGATTTATTTTTTCCTAGGTATAACCCATTGGTTTAATATTATTTATTGAGAAGACATTCTATGCCACCTTAAACCACACGGCAGCCTTTGTCAACTCTAAAGGGACTGTGTGTACACGGATGTACTTTAGACACTGTTTCTGCTAAGGGGCTCTCTGTGTCCACACTCTTGATGATGCTGCACTTTATGTAGCCTTATAGAACCCTTTAAATTTAGTAGCCAGAGCTCTCTAATTTGTTATTATAGGCTATTTGCTTTTTTTTCTTGAGGCGGAGTCTTGCTCTGTCGCCCAGGCTGGACTGCAGTGACACAATCTCAGCTCACTGCAACTTCTGCCTCCCAGGTTCAAGCGATTCTCATGCCTCAGCCTCTTGAGTAGCTGGCGTTACAGGTGCCTGCCACCAGGCACGGCTAATTTTTGGATTTTTAGCAGAGACACGGTTTCACTATATTGGCCAGGCTGCTCTCAAACTCCTTATCTCAGTTGATCCGCCCACCTCGGCTTCCCAACGTGCTGGGGAAACTTGATTTTCTATAGCATTATGTTACTGGATATTTCTGTAAAATTTAAAATGAGGGAGGGAGAGAGACAGACGGAAAACAAACTCCAGAGTTGGGACTCTGGAATCTTGGGTCATGAGACAAATTTTAGATTAAACTACAAAACTCCAGAATTTACAGGTGGGGTTTTTACTGATAAAGTACAATTCTAAGATTGTAAATAATTGCATAATCCTTCCCTGGGAATTTAAATCATTTTAACTGGTTCTGCTGTAATACTAGAAATACAAGCATGAAAAATTCTAATGGTTTATTAGTGACAATGACTCTGAAAACATTAATAATACCTATTAGATATTTTGCATATTACACAGGAAGAAGAGTTTGAATCTCAGATAAAAACAATAGAAATACATGAAAAGTCTTTCATGTTAGCACAGATTTTAGGCATCTCGTGTTCGGGAGGTTGGATCTCAGACGTGTTTTGAGTTGGTCATAGTGAAGGACACTAGGTGTCAAATTCTAGCGAGAACAATTTCCAGGAAGCCGTGTTCCGCTCTTGAGCGAGCACCCACTGGGCCTCATGCAAGGTAGAAAGAGCCTGCGTACGTCACCCTCCCATGATGTGGTCAACATGTAAACTGCATGGGCAGGGCGCCAAATAACATCCTGTGCGCTGCTGAGCTGAGCTCGGTCGCGGCTGCCTGTCTGCTCCGGCAGCACCATGTCGCTCTTGGTCGTCAGCATGGCGTGTGTTGGTGAGTCCTGGAAAGCAATAGAGGGAGGGAGTGAGGGGATGGAGATCTGGGCCCAGAGGTGGAGATATAGGCCTGGAGGTGGAGTTATGGGCCTGGAGTGGAGATCTGGGCCTGGAGTGGATATATGGGCCTAGAGATGGAGTGATGGGCCTAGAAGTGGAGATCTGGGCCCAGAGGTCGAGATATAGGCCTGGAGGTGGAGTGATGGGACTGTAGTGGAGATCTGGGCCTGGAGTGGAGATAGGAACCTGGAGGGGAGATAGGAACCTGGAGGGGAGATATGGGCCTGGAGGTGGAGATATGGGCCTGGAGTGGAGTCATGGGCCTGGAGGTGGAGTTATGGGCCTGCAGTAGAGATATGGGCCTGAAGTGGAGACATGGGCCTGGAGTGGAGATATGGGCCAGGAGTGGAGATATGGGCCTAGAGGTCGATATCTGGGCCTGGAGTGGAGATATGGGCCAGGAGTGGAGATATGGGCCTAGAGGTCGATATCTGGGCCTGGAGAGGAGATATGTGCCTAGGATGGAGATACGGGCCTGGGTGTGGAGATATGGGACTGGAGAGGATATATGGGCCTGGAGTGGAGATATGGGACTGGAGAGGAGATATGGACCTGGAGTGGAGATAAGGGCCTGGATTGGAGATATGGGCCCAGGGTGGAGATCTGAGCCTGGATTGGAGATATGGGCCTGGATTGGCGATATGGGCTTAGGGTGGAAATATCGGCCTGGAGTGGAGATATGGGCCTGGAGTGGAGATATGGGCTTGAGGTGGGGATATGGACCTGGAGGCTGGGTCTCTGCACAGCCGACAGCCCTGTTCTTGGGTGCAGGTAGGCACTGAGGGTGAGTTTACCTTCAGCCCAGGAAGGGCCTGGCTACCAAGACTCACAGCCCAGTGGGGGCAGCAAGGGTGCCCTGGTTTGCCTGCAGATGGGTCATCCATCATGATCTTTCTTTCCAGGGTTCTTCTTGCTGCAGGGGGCCTGGCCACATGAGGGTGAGTCCTTCTCCAAACCTTCGGGTGTCATCTCCCCACATAAGAGGATTTTCCTGAAATGGGAGGGAAGTCCTGTCAGGGAGTCTCTCATAAACTAGGAAGAAGGGACCCTGGGGTGCTGGGCCCACATTTCTGACCTTGCCTCCCTGGCCTTTCATTCCCTTGGCAGAGTCAAGTTCTGTGGGGACCAGGGTTAGACTACGGTGCTCAAAGCTGGGGTGTGTGGTGGGGAAGTGGTAGGAACAGCAGATCCTCTGAGGACAAAGGTGTTACTCACACACTTCAGCGTTTCCATGACGGTAGGGGCTGCAGTGTGGCTGCTGTCATTCTACCAGAAGAGGTGGGAAAACCACAGCCATGGCCCTGACATTCCAATCCTCTGATGGGGACTCAGTTGTTTATTTTCGTTCAGGCATCGGCTGATATTCCATTCTCAAAGGACATGCCCTCCACCCCATGTCTACCCTGTGTTGTTTTATGTGAGTAATCTTACAGTATTAAAATCTAGTAGGAGTCTCTTACTCAGCACTTGCTCAAAGTTCTCAGCTGACACTTTTGTTGTAGGGAGACACCTTGTGTTTGCGGGATGGGTCCTTCCTTTAGCCCTGGGCACCAAGGTGTGATAGCAGCCATAGAAACTTGGAAAGCGAGGAGAATCTTCAGAGCACAGGGAGGGAGGGGCGGCTCCACATCCTCCTCTCTAAGGCGGTGCCTCCTTCTCCCCACGGTGGTCAGGACAAGCCCTTGCTGTCTGCCTGGCCAAGCCCTGTGGTGCCTCCAGGACATGTGATTCTTCAGTGTCATTCTTATCTTGGGTTTAACAACTTCAGTCTGTAAAAGGAAGATGGGGTGCCTGTCCCTGAGCTCTACAACATAATATTCTGGAACAGCCTTTTCATGGGCCCTGTGACCCCAGCACACGCAGGGACCTATACATGTCGGGGTTCACAACCACACTACCCCAGTGGGTGGTCGGCACCCAGCAACCCCCTGGAGATCACGGTCACAGGTCAGAGGGCTCCTGTCTGGGATTCTCCTTGTCCCACCTCCTGAATCCCAGAGCTCCTGGTGGGCGTGTCCTTGCGGGTCCCATCATGCAAGTCCTGACTGTATTTGGGGTAAAGGGGGATTGAATACAGGGAAATGGGTGCTGTGGTGGGAAGAATAATTGTCCCCAGTGATGACTACATTCTAATCCCTGGAGTCTGTGACTATTTATGATATAGGGGAAGGGACTGAAGGAGAAGATGGAGCTCAGGTTGTTGATGAGTTGACCTTGAGATGGGGAGACAGCCTGGACTGTCCTGATGGGCTCAGTGTAGTCACAGGGGTCCACATGAAAGGAGGAGGAAGAGGGGAGTGGGGATTACAGCAGCATAATGGGAGTCTCCATCAGCTTTGAAGGTGGAGGAAGTCCAGGAGCCATGAATGCAGGTGGCCTATAGAGGCTGGAAAAGTCAAGGAACTGATTCTCCTGAGTCTCCAGAGGGAACGAAGCCCTGCAGGTGCCTTGATTTTACCCACGACAAACAGGGTCCGATTTCTGTCTCCAGAATTGGAAGGGGTTAGTGTGCTCTCTCCTGGTGCCATGCTTCTGATAATTTTCTACAGCAGCAACAGGAAACCAACACTGGAACCCAGGTCAAGGACAAGTTAAGAAACAACACAAGGATAGCCAGGCATGGTGGCAGGTGCATGTAATCCTAGCGACTTGGGAGGCTGAGGGCAGGAGAATCACTTGAACCCAGGAGACAGAGGTTGCAGTGAGCCTAGACCACACCACTTCACTCCAGCCTGGGCAAAGGAGTGAGACTCTGTCGCCAAAATTAATTAATTAATTAAAGAAACCAAACAAGGAGAAGGTTGGCTACACTGAGATCAGCAAGGCTCAGATGATGATGCCACCACCAGGCTCCATCCACATAGGGAGGGGTTGATACTCCTCCAACCAGCACCAGGAGCCAGCCTATGGAAGCTGGCACTGGCATGGCAAGAGTGGCTCCCAGTCCCTACCAGGAACAGGGTGTGTGGCCACTGGTGCCTGCCTTACTGATCAGTTCATACCTCCTGCCAAGGATTCCAATTCGTCCAAAAGAGATTGAACCAGGCTGCTAAGAGCCTGGATGTGCAGCCTATCCTGGTTCCTCTTCCACCCCCACATAGACAGCAGGAAAGACATTAGTTCGAAATAGATACAACAGCCCAAGAGATGAGGCTGAGCCCAGCGGCAAGGGAATCAGAGGCTACTAGAGACAGAGGGACAGAGAAGAGTGAGGGAGACAGATGGAAGGACCTGCACCAGGAGTTATGGGCACAGAAAAGAACATGAAGACACAGAGAGGAAGGAGAGAGATAAGACACCAGGAAGGGGAAGCCTGACTCAATCCAGGTGCCATGGATGGGATGATAAAGAGAGACACCTTCTAAACTCACAACCTCTCTTCCTAGGAGTCCACAGAAAACCTTCCCTCCTGGCCCACCCAGGTCGCCTGGTGAAATCAGAAGAGACAGTCATCCTGCAGTGTTGGTCAGATGTCATGTTTGAACACTTCCTTCTGCACAGAGAGGGGATGTTTAACGACACTTTGCGCCTCATTGGAGAACACCATGATGGGGTCTCCAAGGCCAACTTCTCCATCAGTCGCATGACGCAAGACCTGGCAGGGACCTACAGATGCTACGGTTCTGTTACTCACTCCCCCTATCAGGTGTCAGCTCCCAGTGACCCTCTGGACATCGTGATCATAGGTGAGAGTGTCCAGACTTTCTTCTCATTGTCATTGGGATGCAGAGTGAATGATCCAGGAATTGGAGACCCAGGTGGCTGTAAGGAAGATGAGCTTGGTATTCTTATGGAGAGAGACTGACTTGGTGAGGTCTGTGCCAACAGAGACAGAGAAACAGGAGACACAAGTAGAGACCAGGTGTCATAACAGAGAACAGACACAGGGGCCATACCGGGAGTTAGAAAAGACAGAAAGAGTTAAAGGAGACACACAGACAGACATGTCCCAGAGAGAGGTGTCCCTCCATGCTGACTTTGCTCAGAGACCTGGCACAGGTTAGAAGTTTCATTTCTGTTTTACCTCCACAAAGTGTTCTCTACCAGGAGAACCCAAGGACACCCATATTTCTGACCTGAGTTGGGCCCTGTGGCCTCAGGCCTTGTGGCACCTACAGATGCCATGTTTATTCTGACACCTCTGCCTTCCATGTAATGGAGAGTAATCGTCCCAGGATATCATGGCCCCACAACACCAACCCCTGTATGCTGTGTGAACTTGTAGTCTCCAGACTGGATTCTGAGGCTCATATTCCAAATAAGCCCACTTATGAGAGGATCAGTGAGAGGCACAGAGAGAAATCAGGGACACCAAAAAGCAAAGACATAAACACACAGAGAATGAGCCAGAGGAAGGAGATTGAGAGACTCACAGACACATAAAGAGAGAGAAAAGAGGGCAGAGGAGTGGTGAGAATGATGGAAGGGAGCAGAGAAAAGCACTAAAATTAGACTCCTGAGGGAGAGGCACAAGGACATTGAAAGATGGAGATGTGGGGATGAATTGCAGAGATTCCAAAGAGAACTAGAGAGACCGAGAGGCAGAGCAAGACAGATGATAGATGGATAGATATAGATAGATGATAAATAGGTAGATGATAGATAATAGGTTATAGATACATAGATGATGATTGATTGATTCATTAATAGATGAGACATAGAGATGATGATGATGAAGACAGATAGATAGATAATACATAGAGATACAGAGGCAGACATAGAGAAATCATAGAGAGAGAGAGATGATACATAGATATAGATAATAGATGATTGATGGATAGATAGACAATTGATGGATAAATAGATGATATATAGATATAGATGACAGGTAGAGAATTTGTAGATAGGCACCGAATAGATAAATAGATAGATCGATAGATAATAGATAGAAATATGCAGAAAGTTATGAACAGGACACAAAGTGAGAAACTCAGAATTAAAAAAAGTAACATCAAGTCAACCAATCCAAGGAGAGTCAGAGAGAATAAAACAATCCAAAAAGAGAAAACATATCTAGAGGTGGGGAAGTGAGGTCAGAGACCTAGAGAGACAGAGAAGGTGGAAGGAGGAAATAGACATGAAGAGCGATGGGGTAGAGGGTGAGAGAGAGAGAGAGAGAGCATTAGGTCATAGAACAGGGGAGTGAGTTCTCAGCTCAGGTGAAGGGAGCTGTGACAAAGAAGATCCTCCCTGAGGAAACTGCCTCTTCTCCTTCCAGGTCTATATGAGAAACCTTCTCTCTCAGCCCAGCTGGGCCCCACGGTTCTGGCAGGAGAGAATGTGACCTTGTCCTGCAGCTCCTGGAGCTCCTATGACATGTACCATCTATCCAGGGAAGGGGAGGCCCATGAACGTAGGCTCCCTGCAGGGCCCAAGGTCAACGGAACATTCCAGGCTGACTTTCCTCTGGGCCCTGCCACCCACGGAGGGACCTACAGATGCTTCGGCTCTTTCCATGACTCTCCATACGAGTGGTCAAAGTCAAGTGACCCACTGCTTGTTTCTGTCACAGGTGAGGAAAGCCCATGGCTGTCCCATGTCCTGTGATCCTAGAGCCTTAGCTGAGGAGCTTCCTGCTGAGGATGGAGAGAAGCATGGACAGATGCAGAGAGAAGACGCAGCCTCGGTGTGAGGGAGGGATCAGGGCACAGGATGGCCGACAGGGCACCTCCAAACCCTCCTACATGGCCTGCATGGAGGCCCACGGCCAGGGCTCCAGGCACCCAGGCAGATGGAGAAAGCGGTCAGGAGAGACCCAGAGGAGGGAGACTGGGCTCAGTTTGGGGAGATCAGAGGTTCCCTCAGCCCCTCAACCTTACCCATTTCCCAGAAGCCCATCCTGGCCTCTCACCCACACAGAGATGTCATCACCAGCAACCCCTACACCCTTTACTTTTCTTTGAAGAAATATTTATTGAGGATAAATATACCTATATAGCTTACCACTTTTAACATTTTTTTTTGAGGTGGAGTCTAGCTCTGTCCCCTATGATGGAGTGCAGTGGCACAATCTCAGCTCACTGCAACCTCCGCCTCCTGGGTTCAAGCGATTCTCCTGCCTCAGCCACCTGAGTAGCTAGTGCTACAGGCACGCACCACCACGCCAGGCTACTTTTTGTATTTTTAGTAGAGAGGTGGTTTCACCATGTTGGTCGAGCTGGTCTCGAACTCCTGACCACGTGATCCACCCGCATCAGCCTCCCAAAGTGCTGGGATTACAGGCATGGGCCACCAGGCCCAGCCACATTTACCATTTTTAAGTGTAAAGTCTAGTGGTCATAAATACATTTTTATATATATATATATATACATTTTTTTTACCCTCCACCCTTTTCTTCCTGTCCTCCAGTAGCCACCATTCTACTCTCTACCTTCATGAGATCCACCTTTTAGCTCCTGTATATGGGTGAGAAATGGGAATCTTTTTAATGACCTCCAGTTCCATCCATGTGGCTGCAAATGACAGGATGTTATTCTTTCTATGGATGAGTAGTCTCCACTGTGCGTATGTACTACATTCTCTCTATCCATTCACCCACTGATGGGCAGGTAGGTTGACTCCTCATCTTGGCTACTGTGAACAGTGCTGCACCAATCATACGAGTGCAGATATCACTTCGATATGTTGATTTACTTTCCTTTGGATATAAACCCAGTAGTGAAATTGCTGGATACTATGAAAGTTCTCTTTTTTTTTTTTTTTTCTTTTTTGAGAAAGAGTTTCCCTCCTTAGCCCAAGCTGGAGTCAAAGTGGTGCAACCTTGGCTCATTGCAACCTCCGCCTCCTGGGTTCAAATGATTTTCCTGCCTCAGCCTCCCTAGTAGCTGGGATTACAGGTGCACACCACCATGCCTGGCTACTTTTTGGTTTTTTTAGTATAGATGCGGTTTCCCCATGTTGGCTGGGCTGCTCTCAAACTCATGACCTCAACTGAGGTGCCCGCCTCAGTCTCCCAAAGTGCCGGGATTACAGGCATGATCCACCTCACCCAACCTCTTTTTAGTTCTTTAAAGGACTTCCATACTTTTCTCCGTAATGGCTGTACTAATTTACACTCCTCCCAACAGGGTACCAGGGTTCTCCTTTCTCTACCACCTTGCCAGCATTTCTTTTGCCTGTCTTGCAGCTAAAAGCCATTTTATTTTATTTCATTTTATTTTGAGATGGAGTTTTGCTCTTCTCACCCAGGCTGGAGTGCAGTGGCGCTATCTCGGCTCACCACAACCTCCACCTCCCAGGTTCAAGCGATTCTCCTGCCTCAGCCTCCCGAGTAGCTGGAATTACAGGCACACGCCACCACGCCCTACTAATTTTTGTATTTTTAGTAGAGACAGCGTTTCTCTATGTGGGTCAGACTGGTCTCAAACTCCCAACCTTATGAGATTCACCCACCTCAGGTTCTCAAAGTTCTAGGATGACACAAGTGAGCCACCTCACCCGGCCTAAAAGCCATTTTAATGGGGTGAGATGAAAACTCACTTTGATTTTAATTTGCGTTTCTCTGATGATGAGTGATACTGAGCACTTTTTCGTATGTGGGGAAATTTCATGTCTTTTGCTCCTTTTTCAATTAAATCATTTGTTTTATTGAGTTGTTTGAGCTTCTTATATTTCTAGTTATTAATCCCATCTCAGATGCATAGTTTGCACATATTTGCTCCCAATCTGTGGGTTGTCTCTTCACTTTGTTGGTTTATTTTTAGCAGTGCTGAAGTTGCTTAGTTTGAGGTAATCCCAATGGTCTATTTTTGCTTCGATTACTTGTGTTTTGAAGGTTTAAAACAAAATGTCTTCCTTCAGACAAACGTCCTGGAGCATTTCCCCAATATTTTGTTCTACGTGTTTCATAGGTTCAGGCCTTAGACTCACATCTTTAATCCATTTTCATTTGATTTTTGTGTATGGTGACAGGTAGAGTTGCAGTTTCATTCCTCTGCATGTAGATGTCCAGGTTTCCCTGCACTGTTTATTGAAAAGACTGTCCTTTCCTGATTGTGAGTTCTTGGCATCTTTGTCAAAGTCCATTGGATGGGCTGGGCTTGGTGGCTAACACCTGCAATTTCAGCACTTTGGGAGCCCGAGGTGGGTGGATCACCTGAGGCCAGGAGTTCAAGATTAGTCTGGCCAACGTGATGAAACATCGTCTCCACTAAAAATATAAAAATTAGCTGAGCATGGTGGTCAGCACCTGTAATACCACTACTCAGGAATTTGAGGCAAGAGAATGATTGAACCCAGGAGGCTGAGGTTGCAGTGAACCGAGATTGCACCTCTGCACTCCAGCCTGAGTGACAGAGCAAGACTCCATCTCAAAAGAAAAAATAAAAAACCATTGGATGTAAATGCATGGAATATATCTGTGTTATTCATTCTGCTCCGTTGTTCTATGTGCCTTTCTTTATGCCAATGTCATGCTATTTTGCTTACTACAGCTCTGTAACATATTTTGAGATCAGGTAGTGTGATGCTCCTGTTTTCTCTTTATATCTTGAAGTCTCAAGACAGTGGGTGTCATATAAAAAAATTATGGAAAAAAGGATCCCAGGACTCCCAGGGCTCAATATTAGATAAGAGAGTGTTGGCCATGAACCATCCTCAAAGATTTCCACTGAGTGGAGGACAGACACCCTCATTTCCTCACCTCTCTCCTGTCTCATGTTCTAGGAAACCCTTCAAATAGTTGGCCTTCACCCACTGAACCAAGCTCCAAAACCGGTGAGTACAGAACCCTCTTATATCCGCTTTTGGAACCCTGGGGAGGTGGGAACCTTGGATTCAGGCGTTGACTCAGCATCTCACAGCTCTGACATTGTACACTTGTCTTCCACCATCTCCGAACTCCAGATACTCCTACAGCGAAAGGGATCTGGGCCCAACACAGGGCTCAGTGAAATCTCTTCATCTCTCATTTTATGGAGCTGAGACCTCCTACAAGCTAGAAGAATGATTGCCAATCTGACATCCTTCTCAGGAAAAATGCAATGTTTGTTCTACCTGCATTCCTAACTGGAGGATAAATTCCTGGAGACTTGAGAGAGGGAAGGGAAGGGAACATCTGATGAGGGCAAGGTGTTTTAGAGAAGTTCCACTTGCCAAGGAATGAGCTCCTGTAGGTCATGAAGCAACCCTGGCTGACTCCGCAGAGAAAGAGCCTTGCCGTAACAGAGAACAGAGCTCATGCACGCACACTTCGACTCACTGACTCATTCAGCCACGGCCCCATGCTCAGGCTGTGCAGTGTGGAACCTTTTCCTATTGTTGCCATAACAAATTTCCACAAGATTCGTGGGTGAAAACAAAACGGTTTTTTAATTATCTTACAGTGCTGTAGCTCAAAGTAGGAAGTGCATCTTACTGGGCTAAAATCAAGGTGACAGCAAGGCTGCCTTCCCTCTGAGGATTCCAGGCACGAATCTGCTTCTCACTTGTCCCAGCTTCTAAAGGCTCCCAGTTCCTTGGCTCCTGGTCCCCTTCCTCCTTCCTCAAAGCCCACAAAGACTGGTCACATCTCACATGGCATCACTCAGTGCCTTCTTCCTTACCACACCTCTTTCTCTGAGTGCTGCTCTCCCTTCTTCCTCATCTTTTGAAAACTTGGGGATTCTATTGGGTTCACCAAGATGAAAATCCCTCATAATCTCCTGGAAATCATCCAGGATACCCTTGTTTTAAGTTCAGCTGATTAGCAACCATAATTCCATCTGCAATCTTCATTCCTCCTTTCCATGTAAAATAACATATTCACAAGCTATGGAGGCTAGGACAGGGACATTTTGGGGTGGGACAGCATTCTCCTGCCTTCCACAAACAGTGAACAAGATGCATTTGGCCTCTGCCCTTGGGACACTGATATTGCAGATGGTTAAATGGGAGGGCAGAAAATGAACGCACAAGTGGATCTATAAATGAATGGTCCATTGGGAAGCATCTGTGCATGAAATCTATTTTTTGTTTGTTCTTTTGTTTATTGAGACAGAGTCGCCCTCTGTCTTCCAGGCTACAGTGCAGTGTCACGATCTTGGCTCACTGCAACCTGCGTCTCCTGGATTCAAGTGATTCTCCTGCCTCCGCCTCTCGAGTAGCTGGGATTACAGGCAACTGCCACCGTGCCCGGCTAATTCTTTTTGTATATTTTTTGTAGAGAGGATGTTTCACCACGTTGGCCAAGCTTGTCTGAAACTCCCAACCTCAAGTGATCCGACCGTCTCAGCATGCCAAAGTAATGGGACTACAGGCGTGAGCCACTGTGCCCAGCCAGAATTCAAAATCAATAATAGATAATGCTGAGTGTATGATTTCAGGTGACAAAGAAGGTCTCACTATTCAGATATTTGTGACATTAATGAAAAACACGGAATGAACCCCTGAAAGATTGGCGGAAGGATTTTGCACACACAGCTGTCAGCCATGAAGGCACAAAGGTGAAAACAATCTGATGTGGAAGGAAGAGGCTCTGACTCAAATGCTGGGAATGAGGTGGGGAGAATGACAAGACGACTGTAGAGAGACGGAGAGCACACTGGGTACACAGGAAACTAAGGAGCAACAAGGAGTGTGTGTTTGACACTCACAGCCATTGGATTCACCTCGGGGTAACCAGGAATCCCTACATGATTAATATGACTGACATGAAAATAAGGGAGGCCCAGGTGCATAACTGGAATCTAGGAGACCGTGGAAAAGGCAATTGCCGCCCCACTGGTGAAATGTGGTGCTGATTTAGACACTAAATGAATGAAGTAGATGGATATAAGATATGTTTGTGAGGTAGAATCATTGACTGGAAAGGCTTACTGGGTTTGATTTTCCTACTTGTTTAATCCTCGCTTAATTAATTTCTTTCTGAGATTTATTCATCCTACACATAAATCAATACCTGGCAAAGGAGTGACAGATATATGAGTGGTGGTGGAAATGAAGAGACTTATTATAGCATAATATACAAGTCTGTGAACAGTGGCTCACGCCTGTAACCTAGCACTGCAGGAGGCCAAGGTGGGTGGATTCCATGAAGTCAGGAGTTCCAGACCAGCCTGGCCAACGTGGTGAAACCCTATCTCTACTAAAAATACAAAAATTAGCCGAGCACGATGGTGCATCCCTGTAATCCCAGCTCCTATTCTGGAGGATGAAGCAGGAGAATGACTTCAACCCAGTAGGTGGAGGTTGCAGTGAGTGGAGATTGCATCACTGCACTCCAGCCTGGGGGACACAAGGAGACTCTATCTCAAAAAATAAAAATAAGAAATACATAAATATAATAAAACACACACGAATGACAAAGGCACCTGAATTCCAATCATCGTTTTTCTATTTCTCTATAATTACTTCTTTGATCCTTTATCTTATCCATTAGGCAATGAGCCTAAAACCTCTTCCCTATTTGGCTTTCTGTGAGCATGAGATCATATAGAAAATGTGAAAGCCCGCTGAATCCTCCAGCACAGATCCTGGAATAGAGAAAGTGCTCTGGTCATCACAAAAAAAACTTGCCCACTCACCCAAATCCCCCACCTCACCCCTACTTCCAATCACCTGTGGAGATTCAGATAGACCATGGGGAGGTAAACATTAACACTCCTTGGAGTGAGTCCAGATCTTGGAATCAGAGATCAGCGACAGCACTAGCTCCTGCTCCCCTTTCCTACTAATTCACAGGAGGACAGGTGGTTTTGAAGCAATAGATGGCCGAGGGGGTGGTCCTTCCCCCAGCCTCTCGGGTAGAACAGCAGCCTAATATGTGTCTCCCGAGATCACAAAGAGCAGCAGGTTTCACACGGGCTTCAACACTATTTCCTGGCCGTTTGACATAAGAGAATTCTATTTCGCTTTTTTTATCTTGATTTCACTTTTGTTTTCTTTCCTTGGAGAATGCAAGTTGTTTGATTCAAGAATGCTGTGGATGTAGAAACCCTAAAGCACATTCGCTGTGAATCAATCCCAGTCCAGTCTTCCCAGAGAAGACTCTAAACACCTCCTGGACTGCACCTGGGCCTATGCCAATTCCTATCACTCACCGTCACTCCAGGGAGACAGAACACACAGAGAATACGTTACATAGGCAGGTTCATTACTAACAGATAAGCAGCGAGTGACAACAGAAACCTATATTTCAATGTGACCCAGTCCCTCAAGGCTCAGAAAAGCTCCTCGGGACATATGGAGTCACCCCATTTGCAGTGTAGCTGCGGGAAGCCAGAAAGCAGCCCAGCCTGGGTTTTGTACCCTGGAGCCACAGGAAGCACTCAGCTAAAGCACTGCATGACGTCCTCCAGGAAGAACAGGAAGACAGCCCAGGGTGTTCTGAGACGTTCCTCCTGATCTCAGGAAGTTGCTGTCTTAGGCCATTTTTGTTGCTCTAAAGGAACACTTGAGCCTCGGTAACTTCTAAAGAAAAGAGATTGGTTTGCCTCACCGTTCTGCAGGCTGTACTGGAAGCATGGCACCAGCATCTATTTCTCGTGACGGCCTCAGGCTGCTCCCACTCTGGCAGAAGGGAAGGAGGGTCTGTCTGTGCAGAGACCACAGAGATCACACGGCAAGAGAGGGAGCAAGGGGGAGGGGGAGTGATGGAGCTTCCAAGCTCTTTTTAACAACCAGCTCTCCGGGAACTAATAGAGGGGGAACTTGCTAACCCCGTCTCCTTGGGACAGCATTGATGTGTTCATGATGGATCCACCTCCATGACCCAAACACCTCTCAAGAGGCCCAACCTCCCACAGTGGGGGTGAAATTTCAATGTGAGGTTTGAAGGGGTCAAACATCTCAACTAAAGTAGTCGTATCCTCAGCACGTTCTATGGTTACTATGAGAGCTATAACTGAAAAAGCAGGAGAAAGCTGGGTCTCCTGCCATCTGGGTGCTTGTCCTAAAGAGGTGTTTTATGTGGTTACCTGTCAATCAAGAAATGCGAGACAATTCATAAAGAGGAACTGCTAAGATTAGCTTCTTATTGGTGTCTCATCTTCTTCCAGGTAACCCCCGACACCTGCACATTCTGATTGGGACCTCAGTGGTCATCATCCTCTTCATCCTCCTCTTCTTTCTCCTTCATCGCTGGTGCTCCAACAAAAAAAGTAAGTCTCACGAAGCAGAGGCCAGAGAGCTCAGGGCCATGTGGGGAAGCAGGATGGGAGCACTCAGGTGTGTGTTCCTCACAAACAGGATGGTCCCTGGCCCAAGGCAGCAGCCACAGAGGCAGGACTTTCTAGAGAGGGCACCAGACTCCCTGTCCCTGCCTTCAACTCACAGACCGTTGCCTGATTCTGAACTGTATCCCCATGTCCCCTGCAGCCACTCACATCCAGGAGAAGGTTCCATGACAGGCAGAAAGTGGGAGACAGAATCAATGGGATGGGAACTCAGAGCTATTCATGGGATGGGTCCTTGAGCTCAGAGAGATAGAATGTCTGAGTCTGCTGTTGGCAACTGAGGGACCTCAGCCACCTATGGTCTCCCCCTGTATGTTGGTATCTGCTTATGAAATGAGGACCCAGAAGTGCCCTCCGAGCTGTTTTGTTGACTTCCATCTTCTACAGATGCTGCGGTAATGGACCAAGAGTCTGCAGGAAACAGAACAGCGAATAGCGAGGTAGGTACTCCTCGGCCCGGGCTCGTGGCTACTGTTATTCCCAAAGAGTCCTGGAAAATGTGAGCACCCTCCCTCACTCAGCATTTCCCTCTCTCCAGGACTCTGATGAACAAGACCCTCAGGAGGTGACATACACACAGTTGAATCACTGCGTTTTCACACAGAGAAAAATCACTCGCCCTTCTCAGAGGCCCAAGACACCCCCAACAGATATCATCGTGTACACGGAACTTCCAAATGCTGAGTCCAGATCCAAAGTTGTCTCCTGCCCATGAGCACCACAGTCAGGCCTTGAGGGCGTCTTCTAGGGAGACAACAGCCCTGTCTCAAAACCGGGTTGCCAGCTCCCATGTACCAGCAGCTGGAATCTGAAGGCGTGAGTCTGCATCTTAGGGCATCGATCTTCCTCACACCACAAATCTGAATGTGCCTCTCACTTGCTTACAAATGTCTAAGGTCCCCACTGCCTGCTGGAGAAAAAACACACTCCTTTGCTTAACCCACAGTTCTCCATTTCACTTGACCCCTGCCCACCTCTCCAACCTAACTGGCTTACTTCCTAGTCTACTTGAGGCTGCAATCACACTGAGGAACTCACAATTCCAAACATACAAGAGGCTCCCTCTTAACGCAGCACTTAGACACGTGTTGTTCCACCTTCCCTCATGCTGTTCCACCTCCCCTCAGACTAGCTTTCAGTCTTCTGTCAGCAGTAAAACTTATATATTTTTTAAAATAACTTCAATGTAGTTTTCCATCCTTCAAATAAACATGTCTGCCCCCATGGTTTCGGTAATGGGACTCTTTTCTTGCCTAAGGCTTCCGGTGTTATCAGTACCATGTCCATATAATCCCATCTGTTCCCCACTGAGTTCTCATCCCCGGACTCTGAGTTTCTGGAAGCAGGGTGGAGCCTCATTTGTCTCTGGGACTCCAATTTCCATCCAAAGATGTAGCACATAGGAGGTTCCAAGGATCACGAATCATATGAACAAGTGATACTCTTACTCTCTGCAGACCTGGAAAGCTGGCAGAGTCATTCCACAATGAAACATTTGTAGAATCATAGGCCTTGTTAGTCTCATCTCCATGGGGACACATATCAACACATCATCTTTCATAATATAAATATACGGTCACTCCTCCATATCTGCGGGGTTTACAGGTGTTTATTGAACCAAGTATAAATCAAAAATATTGAGAGAAAGTATCCACAGAGTTTCAAAAAGCATAACTATGTTGAATGGACACAAATGAAGCTGTGTGTAGGCTGTATCAGGAATTATAAGTAATCTAGAGATGATTTCATGTATACAGGAGGATGTGCATAGGTTATTTGCAAACGCTGTGCCATTTCATATAAGAGGCTTGAGCATCTACAGATTTTGGTATCTGAGTGGAGATCTCAAAACCAATCACCCACGAATAGTGAAGGATGACCGTATATGACTTTTATTTCTCAAATTTAAATATAAATCATAAAAAATGTACAACTAGATAAAAACTAAGAAGTGTTTTTATAGTGTGAGTTAGATTTATTTTTTCCTAGGTGTAACCAATTGGTTTAATATTATTTATTGAGAAGACATTCTATGCCACCTTAAACCACACGGCAGCCTTTGTCAACTCTAAAGGGACTGTGTGTACATGGATGTATTTTAGACACTGTTTCTGCTAAGGGGCTCTCTGTGTCCACACTCTTGATGATGCTGCACTTTATGTAGCCTTATAGAACCCTTTAAATTTAGTAGCCAGAGCCCTCTAATTTGTTATTATAGGCTGTTTGCTTTTTTTTTCTTGAGGCGGAGTCTTGCTCTGTCGCCCAGGCTGGACTGCAGTGGCACAATCTCAGCTCACTGCAACCTCCGCCTCCCAGGTTCAAGCGATTCTCGTGCCTCAGCCTCTTGAGTAGCTGGCGTTACAGGTGCCTGCCACCAGGCACGGCTAATTTTTGGATTTTTAACAGAGACACGGTTTCACTATATTGGCCAGGCTGCTCTCAAACTCCTTATCTCAGTTGATCCGCCCACCTCGGCTTCCCAACGTGCTGGGGAAAACTTGATTTTCTATAGCATTATGTTACTGGATATTTCTGTAAAATTTAAAACGAGGGAGGGAGAGAGACAGACAGAGAGCAAACTCCAGAGTTGGGACTCTGGAATCTTGGGTCATGAGACAAATTTTAGATTAAACTACAAAACTCCAGAATTTACAGGTGTGGTTTTTGCTGATAAAGTACAATTCTAAGATTGTAAATAATTGCATAATCCTTCCCTGGGAATTTAAATCATTTTAGCTGGTTCTGCTGTAATACTAGAAATACAAGCATGAAAAATTCTAATGGTTTATTAGTCACAATGACTCCGAAAACATTAATAATACCTATTAGATACTTTGCATATTACACAGGAAGAAGAGTTTGAATCTCAGATAAAAACAAAAAAAATACATGAAAAGTCTTTCATGTTAGCACAGATTTTAGGCATCTCGTGTTCGGATAAAAATACATGAAAAGTCTTTCACGTTAGCACAGATTTTAGGCATCTTGTGTTCGGGAGGTTGGATCTGAGACGTGTTGTGAGTTGGTCATAGTGAAGGACGTGAGGTGCCAATTCTAGTGAGAACAATTTCCAGGAAGCCGTGTTCCGCTCTTGAGCAAGCATCCACTGGGCCTCATGCAAGGTAGAAAGAGCCTGCGTACGTCACCCTCCCATGATGTAGTCAACATGTAAGCTGCATGGGCAGGGCGCCAAATAACATCCTGTGCGCTGCTGAGCTGAGCTGGGGCGCGGCCGCCTGTCTGCACCGGCAGCACCATGTCGCTCATGGTCGTCAGCATGGCGTGTGTTGGTGAGTCCTGGAAAGGAATAGAGGGAGGGAGTGCCACATCCTCCTCTCTAAGGTGGCGCCTCCTTCTCCCCCAGGTGGTCAGGACAAGCCCTTCCTCTCTGCCTGGCCCAGCCCTGTGGTGTCTGAAGGAGAACATGTGGCTCTTCAGTGTCGCTCTCGTCTTGGGTTTAACGAATTCAGTCTGTCCAAAGAAGACGGGATGCCTGTCCCTGAGCTCTACAACAGAGTATTCCGAAACACCGTTTTCATAGGCCCTGTGACCCCAGCACATGCAGGGACCTACAGATGTCGGGGTTCACACCCACACTTCCTCACTGGGTGGTCAGCACCCAGCAACCCCCTGGTGATCATGGTCACAGGTCAGAGGGCTCCTGTCTGGGATTCTCCTTGTCCCACCTCCTGAGTCCCAGAGCTTCTGGTGGGAGTGTCCACCAGCGTCCCATCATCCAGACCCTAACTGTATTTGGGGTAAAAGGGGATTGAATACAGGGAAATGGGTGCTGTGGTGGAAAGAATAATTGTCCCCAATGATGACTGCATTCTAATCCCTGCAGTCTGTGACTATTTATGTTATAGGGGAAGGCACTGAAGGGGAAGATGGAGCTCAGGTTGTTGAGTTGACCTTGAGATGGGGAGACAGCCTGGACTGTCCTGCTGGGCTCAGTGTAATCACAAGGGTGCACATGAGAGGAGAAGGAAGAGGGGAGTGGCGATTAGAGCAGTGCAATGGAAGTCTCCATCAGCTTTGAAGGTGGAGGAAGGCCATGAGCCATGAATGCAGGTGGCCTATAGAGGCTGGAAAAGTCAAGGAACTGATTCTCCTGGGTCTCCAGAGGGAACGCAGCCCTGCAGATGCCTTGATTTTAGCCCTCAAAAAACAGGGTCCGATTTCTGTCTCCAGAAACGGAAGGGGTCAGTGTGCTCTCTCCTGCTGCCATGCTTCTGATAATTTTCCACAGCACCAACAGGAAACCAACACTGGAACCCAGGTCAAGGACAAGATAAGAAAGGACACAAGGATAGCCGGGCGTGGTGGCAGGTGCATGTAATCCTAGCAACTCAGGAGGCTGAGGGCAGGAGAATCACTTGAACCCAGGAGACAGAGGTTGCAGTGAGCCTAGACCACACCACTTCACTCCAGCCTGGGTGAAGGAGTGAGACTCTGACTCCAAAATTAATTAATTAATTAAAGAAACCAAACAAAGAGAAGGTTGGCTACACCGAGATCAGCAAGGGTGGGATGATGATGCCACCACCAGGCTCCATCCACATAGGGAGGGGTTGATACTCCTCAAACCAGCACCAGAAGCCAGCCTATGGAAGCTGGCACCATGGAGAAGGCACAGGCATGGCAAGAGTGGCTCCCAGTCCCCACCAGGAACAGGGTGTGTGGACACTGGTGCCTGCCTTACTGATCAGTTCATACCTTCTGCCAAGGATTCCAATTCGTCCAAAAGAGATTGAACCAGTCTGCTAAGAGCCTGGACGTGCAGCCTATCCTGGTTCCTCTTCCACCCCCACATAGAAGCAGGAAAGACATTAGTTCGAAATAGATACAACAGCCCAAGAGATGAGGCTGAGCCCAGCGGCAAGGGAATCAGGAGCTACTAGAGACAGAGGGACAGAGAAGAGGGAGGGAGACAGATGGAAGGACCTGTACCAGGAGTTATGGGCACAGAAAAGAACATGAAGACACAGAGAGGAAGGAGAGAGATAAGACACCAGCGAGGGGAAGCCTCACTCATTCTAGGTGCCATGGATGGGATGATAAAGAGAGATGCCTTCTAAAGTCACAACCTCTCTTCCTAGGAGTCCACAGAAAACCTTCCCTCCTGGCCCACCCAGGTCCCCTGGTGAAATCAGAAGAGACAGTCATCCTGCAATGTTGGTCAGATGTCATGTTTGAGCACTTCCTTCTGCACAGAGAGGGGAAGTTTAATGACACTTTGCGCCTCACTGGAGAGCTCCATGATGGGGTCTCCAAGGCCAACTTCTCCATCGGTCGCATGACGCAAGACCTTGCAGGGACCTACAGATGCTACGGTTCTGTTCCTCATTCCCCCTATCAGTTGTCAGCTCCCAGTGACCCTCTGGACATCGTGATTACAGGTGAGAGTGTCTGGACATTATTCTCATTGTCACTGGGACACAGAGTGAATGATCCACGACTTGGAGGCCCAGGTGGTTATAAGGAAGATGAGCTTGGTATTCTTATGGAGAGAGACTAACTTGGTGAGGTCTGTACCAACAGAGACAGAGAAACAGGAGACACAAGTACAGACCAGGTGTCATAACAGAGGACAGACACAGGGGCCATACAGGGAGTTAGAAAAGACAGAAAGAGTTAAAGGAGACACAGACAGACATGTGCCAGAGAGAGGTGTCCTTCCATGCTGACTTTGCTCAGAGACCTGGCACAGGTTAGAAGTTTCATTTCTGTTTTACTTCCACAAAGTGTTCTCTACCAGAAGAACCCAAGGACACCCATATTTCTGGCCTGAGTTGGGCCCTGTGGCCTCAGGCCTTCTGGCACCTACAGATGCCGTGTTTATTCTGACACCTCTGCCTTCCATGCAATGGAGAGTAATCGTCCCAGGATATCATGGCCCCAGAACATCAACCCCTGTATACTGTGTGAACTTGCGGTCCCCAGACTGGATTCTGAGGCTCACATTCCAAATAACCCCACATATGAGAGGATCACTGAGAGACACAGAGAGAAATCAGGGACACCAAAAAGCAAAGACATAAACACACAGAGAATGAGCCAGAGGAAGGAGATTGAGAGACTCACAGACACATAAAGAGGGAGAAAAGAGGGCAGAGAAGTGGAGAGAACAATGGAAGGGAACAGAGAAAAGCACTAAAATTAGAGTCCTGAGGGAGAGACACAAGGACATAGAAAGATGGAGATGTGGGGATGAATTGCAGAGATTCCAAAGAGAACTAGAGAGACCGAGAGGCAGAGCAAGACAGATGATAGATGGATAGATATAGATAGATGATAAATAGGTAGATGATAGATAATAGGTTATAGATACATAGATGATGATCGATTCATTCATTGATTAATCGATGATACATAGAGATGATGAAGATGAAGATAGATAGATAATACATAGAGATAGAGAGGCAGACAAAGAGAAATCATAGAGAGAGAGAGATGATACATAGATATAGATAATAGATGATTTTTGGATAGACAATTGATAGATAAATAGATTATATATAGATATAGATGACAGGTAGAGAATTTGTAGATAGGCACCAGATAGATAAATAGATATATCGATAGATAATAGATAGAAATATGCAGAAAGTTATGAACAGGACACAAAGTGAGAAACTCAGAATTTAAAAAAAGTAACATCAAGTCAACTAGTCCAAGGAGAGTCAGAGAGAATAAAACAATCCAAAAAGGGAAAACATATCTAGAGGTGAGAAAGTGAGGTCAGAGACCTAGAGAGACAGAGAAGGTGGAAAGAGGAAATAGACATAAAGAGAGATGGTGTGGAGGGTGAGACAGAGAGAGAGAGCATTAGGCCATAGAGCAGGGGAGTGAGTTCTCAGCTCAGGTGGGAGGGGAGTTGTGACAAGGAAGAACCTCCCTGAGGAAACTGCCTCTTCTCCTTCCAGGTCTATGTGGGAAACCTTCTCTCTCAGCCCAGCCGCGCCCCATGGTTAAGGCAGGAGAGAGCGTGACCTTGTCCTGCAGCTCCCGGAGCTCCTATGACATCTACCATCTATCAAGGGAGGGGGAGGCTCATGAACTTAGGTTCCCTGCAGTGCCCAAGGTCAATGGAACCTTCCAGGCCAACTTTCCTCTGGGCCCTGCCACCCACGGAGGGACCTACAGATGCTTCGGCTCTTTCCGTGACTCTCCCTACGAGTGGTCAGACCTTAGTGACCCACTGCTTGTTTCTGTCACAGGTGAGGAAACCAGTCTGTTCCCCAAATAGTGGGACTCAGACGGACTACAATGGCCACATTCAGGGGAGCCTCAGATGGAGGGGGTGGCCATGGGGGTGTCAGCCAGAGACGCTGGATAGAAGAGACACAAAGCAAACATACAGAAAGAGGCATAGACAGACAGACAGAGCGAGGCAGACAGATCACATTAGGGTTTGGGGTGGTAACTGCAACCCTACCTGAAGCTTGCAGATAGAGCACAGGCCACATAAACCACTTCCCAGTCTTTGTACAGAAGCCCACCTGGGACACATGTAAACAGCATCAATGCTGACTCAGGAGCATGAAAGGCCGGGCTCAGATTGGAAAGACTAGAGGTAGCATTGGCCGCCCGCCATTGCCCATTTCCAGAAGCCCCCACCTCTCACCAAAGAGTGATTTCCACATGGGGGGCACAGATGCAACCATCGTTGGGGGAGCCCCAATGTCTCTTGATGGGAGGCATTTTCCACCCTAGATGTTTTTTGCTCTCTCCACACCTTGGAGACTCAGTGGGGGAGTCTTCTCTGGGGACTCGGGGAGGGCCTCCCTGGGACTCGCAGGATTTCCAAGCTAGATGACAACATGACAGGTGGAAACAGGCCCATTCCTTCGCCAGGGGCCCCAAGCTCCATCCCAGGAGATGAGAAGAGGCTCTTCTCATTGGTCAGTGGATCCCTGAGGGGACAGAGGCTCAGCACTGAAGGCTGAGAAGGATCTGCCACTTCGCTCAGTGGCCTCAAGCCAGACATCTTCCCTACAGACTTGCAGTGATTCTCCATCAGCATTTAGGGCTGTGGCCACCAACCTGGGTGTTGGTCTGTAGGAACTTTTCATTTCTGACCTTCCATAACTGAGTTCTCTTCCTAAATGTGGAATGCCTTGTACTCCATGTTACTCTCTCCCCAGAAAGAATGTGTGGCTTGTCTGCTCTCCAGCCCTGTCATGGAGATTGATAATCCTTAGGGAGCAAGAGGAGAGGGAAAGAACAAAGTATGAGACCACCTAGGTGCTACTGGTTGAGGTTCCATTTGCCAGTGAAGGGACTTCACTCAGCCGAGGGGGCAACTCAGGGAAGTCAGCCGAGGGAGGGCATTAGAGTAGAGAGAACTGAGCTCACCCAGTAAATGACCCCTTCACTAACTCATTCATCTAATATTTATTTCACACCTACCATCAGTTCTCTCTGTTTCACGGCCAGGAGTAGACAGCACGGCCAAGCTCCTGGGTTCATGATGCTCACATTGCTGTGGGGTGGGAGAGAGAGGCAGAACATGAATGAATGAATGAGAGAATGAATGAATGAGTGAATGATGGAATGAGTGAATGAATGAATGAATGTATGAATTAGTGAGTGAATCCTTAGCACTTGGTGAAAGTGCCATGCACAGAATGAAATGAATGAACGTGGAACGTTGTCATTTGGAGTGTACAGGAGGGAACGTCTCACTGAGACCTCATCAGAGAGATCACATTTAAACTCCGATCTTAGAGACAAGAGGGAGTGAGCCCTGGGGAGTGTGTTGAAAGGAACTTTCATGGACTTAGGACATTGGGGATGACCCTAATGTGAGAATGAGCTTGGTGTGTTCCAAGAAGTCCATGGACCTGCCATATGGTGAGGGCTGGTCAGAATCCAGAGAGATTTCTAAATGCCCTTGTGCTTGTAAGGAAAGTGAGTCCTGTGGTTGGGAGTGGACTTATACCTTGGGTCAGGTCCAGCAATTATCTTTCTAAATCCTCTCTAATTGCCTGAACCACTTCTATCAACAACTGAGAAAAGAGGAGTGTTAAACACCCCACTGTGGCCGTGGATTTGCCTACCTGTCCATTTATTTCCGCGACTCTTCCTCCATGTATATTTGCAGGAATATTACTGGGAGTGGTTAAGTGTAAACTGATTATATATTCCTGGTAAATTTAAAATGCTATAAATTTACCTGCTTTTTTCCTACATTTTATGCTTAATGTTTTCCGCTGATTTTTCCCAAAGACTAATTTTGTCTAATTTTAATATAGTTATACCACATTTCTAACAGTGATTGCTTGGTATATTTCTACATTGTTTAATTTCAAACTCCATGAATTGTTAACATTGAGATGTGTCCTTTGTAAATTTCAAACAATTCGCCTTAGAAAGTAAGACTTTCTGACAATCTTTTGTTCATGTTTGAGCAGTTCTTCCAATCATATTTTTGTTATTATTACGTTGTGTTTTCCTGATTCCCTTTTTTTCCCACTGACTTCTGTGGTTTTCTATTTCAAACATTCTATTTTTGATCTATGTCGTTTAGGAATACATATATGGTGTACTCATCCTGAAGTTGTTACATATTTTTAAAATTGAAATTAATCATTTCAGAGATTAAACTGCAAATATAAAAACATATTTCCACTCTTCCTGTGTAAGAACAGGATTTTAGAGCATATTTAGTACATATGTTTGTATTTACTTATATGATGTTTTGTTTTGTGGTATACATAATTCTATCTTTTTCAGAAATTACACAGGGGCGTGTTTTCATACACTATCGTATGGTCCATATTCATTTTTGGCATAGCCATATTTTTAGTTCTTCCTCTGCTCTTAGTTATTGTCAGAATCTTCGACACCCCATCTGGTTTCACTTTCTTTATCTTTGAGGCACGGTCATCAGAATTTCCTTTAGGGTCAGTGAGAAAAGCTTTCTTTGCCCTTTTGTCTTTCAGTTCTGTTTCTTTCCTGCGTTGATCTTGGACAGTAACTGTACTATGTAAGGAATTGTCGGTGGCTGGCGACGGTATCTTAGCTGGGTAAAGATGCTATTCTACTGGCTTATGTTTTCCTTTTTTCTGTGGGGAAGACAATGCTTGGCTCCCTATAAATCCTTACCAGCTGATCCTTTTCCTCTGGCTAATTTTAAGGGTTGGTTGTGCTTTTATGCTGCTTTTCTGTAATGTTGAACGTGAGGTGTGTTTACTTCATTCTGCCTGGCATTCACTGGATTTCTTGAACCTGTGGATTGATGGATGTGTCTACTTCCTCCAAATAATCAACAATTGCCTCTTTAAAGATTGCTTCTGACCTGTTTTCTCGTTCTTTCTTTTTGGAACTCAAGTTAGGAGCATTCTAAAACTGTTGTCAATTTTTACCCTGTCACAAAACTGCTCTTTCTTGTTTCAGTTATTTGCTTTTTCTGTGCATTAATATTGATGGTTTCCTCTGTCATAGAGGATAAATACTCTCTTCACTGTTGTGTACACAACATTTTAACTAGTTATTCTGGTTTAAATTTAATATTGACTTTATCTACATATCACAATTGATTACTGTGTACAGACTTTCTTTTCTATTAGTATAAATTTATGAGGTACACTTGTAATTTTGTGACATGAGTATGTTGCAGAGTAGTGAAGTCAGGACTTTTACTATATCCATCACCCAAATACCGTACATTGTACTCATTAAGCAAATTCTCATCACTCACCCACGTCCCGCCACCCTCCAGCCTTCTAGCCTCCGCTGTCCGTCATTCCACACTCTACGTCCATATGTACACATTACTCCCCTCCCATGTAGAGTGAGAAGATGTGGTATTTGTCTTTCTGAGTGGTTTTATGTAAAATAATGGCGTCCAGCTCCATCTATGTTGCTGCAAAAGACATGGTTTTATTTTTATGACCAAATAGTATTTCGTTGTGTATACACGCATCCTTTTTTTAATCCAATCATTCATTCACAGACACTTAGATTGATTTCATATCTTTGCTATTGCAAACAGTGCTGCAATAAACATACAGGTGCAGATATTTTTTGAGTAGATACCCAGCAGCGGGACCCCTAGATCGAATGGTGCTTCTATTTTTGGTTCTCTGCCAAATTTCCATACTGTCTTCCATAGAGGCTATACTAATTTACATACCGGCCAACAGTGTATAAGAGTTTCCTTTTCTCTGCATCCTTGCCAACACCTGTTATATGTTTCACTTTTTCTTTTTTTCTTTTTGAGATGGAGTCTTCCACTGTCACCCAGGCTGGAGTGCAGTGCCGCCATCTCCACGCGCTGCAACCTCCACCAACCAGGTTCAAATGATTCTCCTGCCTCAGCCTCCTGAGTAGCTGGGATTACAGAACCACACCACCATGCCCAGCTAATCTTTTGTATATTTAGTAGAGATGGGGTTTCACTATGTTGGTCAGGCTGGTCTCAAACTCCTGACCTCATGATCCACCCGCCTCAGCTTCCCAAAGTGCTGGGATTACAAGCGTGAGCCACCACTCCCCACCAGCATTTTTAGTAATAGCCATTCTGACTACTGTAAGATGATATCTCATTGTGGTTTCAATTTGCATTTCTCTGATGATTAGTGATGTTCATACGCTGTTTGGCCATTCGTATGTCTTCTTTTGAAAAATGTCTATGTATATCCCTTTGCCCACTTTTTAATGCTATTATTTGAGGGGTTATGTTTAGTTGTTTGAGTTGCCTAGAAATTCTGGATGTTAGTCCTCTGTTGGGTGCATAGTTTGCAAACATTTCCATTCATTCTGTGGGTTGTCTGTTCACCCTGCTACTATTTCCTTTGCTTGGCAGAAGCTCTTTCGTTTATTAAGTCCCATTGGTCTAGTTTTATTTTTATTGCCTGTGCTTTTGAGGTCTTAGTGATGAATTCTTTGCCCAGACCAATGCCCAGAAGAGTTTCTCTTTGGGTTTCCACCGGTGATTTTATAGTTCTGGATTTACATTTAAGCTGCTAATTACCTTAAGTTAATTTATGTGTATGATTACAGATACAGGTCCAGTTTTATTCTTCTGCATATGGCTATTTAGTTTTCCCAGCACCTTTTATTGAAAAGGAAATCTTTCTCCAGTGTATGTTTTGTTAACGTCGTCAATGATTATTCACTGTAGATATGAGGCTGTATTTCTGGGCTCTCTATTCTGGTCTATTGATCTCTGTTTCTGTGTCTATACCAGCACTGTGCTATTTAAGTTACTATAGCCTTAGAGCATAGTTTGAAGTCAGATAGCGTGATGCCTCCAGGTTTCTACATTCACCTAGAATTGCTTTCTCTATTAGGATCTTTTTTGGTTCTGTATGAATTTTAGGATTGCTTTTTCTAATTCTGTGAAAACTGGTGTTACTATTTTCATATAAGAATTGCACTGAATCTGTAGATTGCTTTAGGCAGTATGGTCATTTTAACAATATTAATTCTTATGATCCATGAGCGTGAGATTTTTTTTCTTTTTTTTTTTTGTATTATCTATAATTGCTTTCATTGGTGTCTTACACCTTTCCTGGTACAGATCTTTCACCACCTTGGTTAAATGTATTCCTGAGTGTTTTAATTTTGCGTATCTATTGTAAACGGCATTGCCTTCTTGATTTGGTTCTCAGCTAGATCATTATAGGTGTAGAGAAATGCTACCGGCTTTTACATATTGATTTTGTATTCTGAAACTTTACTTAGTTCATTTATCAATCATAAGAATTTTTGGCAGGGTCTTTAGGATTTTCTAGATTTAAGATCATAGCATCAGAAATAAAAATAATTTTACTTCCTCTTTTCTAATTTGGATTTTTAATTCTTCCTGTTGCCCAATAGCTCTGACAAGGCTTCCAGTACTATGTTGATAGGAAGTGGTGGATGTCCGTGTCCTTGTCTTGTGCCAGTTCTCAGAGGAGTGCTTTTAACTTTTCCTGTTCAGTATGATGTTGACTCTAGATATGTCATCTATGGCTTTTATTATTTTGAGGTATGTTCTTTCTATGCCTAAGTTTTTGAGGGTTTTCATCAGGTAAGGATGTTGAATTTCTTTTCAGATGCTTTTCTTTATGTCTATTGAGATGATCATATGGTTTTTGTTCTGGATTCTGCTCGTTCTTCTAAGTGGATGAGACATGCCAGAAAAGCATTTAGTCAGCCATCTTGGAAACAAGCATCTCAGATGTTTTCTTTCTCTATAGCTCATTCTTTCTTACCAGTGTTTTCAATTTTGTACTTAATTTTGTAAAGAGAGTAAATGATATAATTTCCACATATGTTTCCTCTGCCAAATCAGACTCACTATGCTTCCTTTCCTTGTATGCATAACCTACCCAGCAATACACACAAACATTTATTGCTTTGGAGAATTAGTTTGGGAACATTTTTGAAATGTACAAAAAAATGTATATCTTCAAAAGAAATTTCTTTTTGTGGCAAAAGACTTCTGAAGGTGCTCATGATGATATAGGGAGAAGAGGGGTTCTGGACAGGAAGAATTTTATGAAGGTGAGATGGGGAAATAGCTCCATTTCAGAGCTTCTGGGGAGAGAGGGGCCTGGCCCACATGGAAAGGTCTCTGATCTTACCCCCACCCTCCAGCCCCTGTTCTCCAGAACTATACTGTGGAGAGTTCCATCAGGATTGTTGTGGCTGGTCTGGTCTTCCTGGCTCTTTTGGCAATGCTGGCTAAGACCTGGTGGAGACATGAGGGGCCACAGGTGGAAATGGAAGAAACATGACTGAAGCTGGCTGGAGTGAATGGCGCGACATTCTGTCTGTGGGAGATTGGCCAGATGGGTTTCAAGTGTGTTGTATCAGCTGTGACTTTTAGTAATGTTCTTGCTACCACAATATCCACTCGTCCATCCCGAATAATTGTGATGAAATATTGTCCTTGGGATAATATTCATTTGCTAAAGACAGGGATGATACCTCAAGGTGCCACTATATACAACGAGGGGATCCACAAAAGTCCATTCAGTAAAATGTAGTTGGCATCTTAGGGTAGGTTGATTCCACCTCTAAAAAAGTAGGTACAACATCAGGTTGATTTTTCCGAAGAAAAGTGGTGATTGGCCATCTTTAGTCTCAATGTAAACGGTAATACTGATGAGTGTGGAAAAGGCAGGGAAGAGGATTGACAATAAGTGACACTCATTGTTTTCATCTGAGCTTTGAGACTGAAAGAGGAACACAGGAGTGAGATGTATGGGAACAAACCCCTTCTTTTTCCAGCTAAACAGAGTGGAAGTTGGACACTGAGTTTTGGCGTACAGCAAAATCCTAAGTCCATTGTTGGGTTGAACACGGCCATGTTGTACATCCTGGTTTCACAGCAGACACTGGAGGAAAACAGCCTGTATTCATAAGAGGCTGTCCCTCGGGTCACTGCCCAGAATATCCGGAGTTGGTGCTCACAGGGTTGGGAACTCTCCTGGACCAGACAGGCTCTGGATATGGGGGGGTACCAAGCTCCCCGGGGCCATGCCTCCACAGCTCTCTTCTCACCTCATTCTTGACCATTTCCCAAACCTCTGACCTCACCTTCATTCATCCATGGTGAACACGCTAAAGCTGGCCTTCAAAGCTTGAGACAGAGGAAAATTGGGCTTCATCTCTGGGAACTAAATTGGGGAGTGGAGACTCAGTTCTGGCCTGACAGGAGGGAGAAGACCCTGGATCCCAGTGTGGATGGGAAGAAGTATGTGTTTCTCTTTTGTGCTTGGACCCTGTGTCCAAGCATGTCTGAGATGTGATGAAGATGAATCTTCCTTTCCTTGTCTATTTTCTCATGCCAGAGAATTGGAATCTTATATTCCATTAACTCTTTCTGTTCTGTTCATCCAGATTCTATGAAGGAGAAAGGAAAAGATGTGATACTGTAATTTTGCTCCATTTGTCTAAAATGAGTAGGCTGCAACTCCTCTTGAAGTGATACCTTTTCTAGCTCTTGTTGGAGGTGTCTCAGGACTCATTACTTCAGGTAACCTGCAACTGTGTCAGTCTGGGGAAACTGCAAATATTCTTGTCTTACATTTGTCTCCAGCCAATTGTGATGGACTCCAGTGACCTGCAATTGCTGTTATTGCAGGTAAAATGTACCTGAGTCAGGCCACAGTTCTCCTGGACTATGAGCCCCTGGCCATGTTCCTGAGGCAATTCTGTTCATCTAAATATAATAATAATAACACACTAAAAATGGCAAGCCATTGTTAATTCCTGAAGTCTCATTTGAAAATTACTAAATGTCTGTTATTTTTTGGTGTTTACATTATATGTAGACAGATAAACTACACACACACACACACATGCACACAGAAGAATGGATTGGTTCATGTAGAAAAGTAAATAATTCAAGATGAAAGGATGAAATGTCATGGCACCTACTATTCTATTTTAGATAAAGGGTCTATGAAAAGATTGATTTCTTTTTATGTTTTATTTGTTGACATTTGAACACAAACTATGTAAGTGAGGGAGTCGATTTGAAAGGGAGAAGAGCAAGTTCAAACACATTCAGGTGAGGTCATGCTTTACATGTTTTAATTGAAATGATCCATCTTGGGAGTAGATCAATAACTGAGATGGTGCCAGGAATGTTAAAAAGCTTTTGTCAGTCCTAAATATTGACAAATAAAATTTAATTAAAGTCTTAGAAGAAAACACAAAGGAAAACTTCACAACATCGGATTTGGCAGTGATTCTTTAGATGTGACAACAACGGCACAGGCTACTACAGAAAAAATAAACAAGTTAGACTTTATGAAAATTTTGAAATATTGTGACTCAAAAGACAACATCAGTTACTTCACATGGCAAGGAAAAAGAACTTTTAAGACGATATTATCAAAGTAAAAAGACAACCCACAGAATGGGAGAAAATGTTTTCAAACCACACCACCTGTAAGGGATTAACATCCAGAATATACAGACAACTCCTAAAACTCAATCACAATAAACTCAATTCAAAAATGGGCAAAGTACTGAAACAGACATTTCTCCAAAGAACATACGCATGAAAAGATATTCAGCATCACGAATCATTAGGGAAATACTAACTAAAACTACACCAGATGCCATTTCATACCCCTTAGGATGGGTATCATCAAAACAACAACAACAACAACAACAAAGTTTCTATACATTAACAACAAACTATCCAAAAAAGTTTACAAGAAAATAAGCCCATTTGCAATAACTACAGAAAACAAAACATGCAGGAATAAATTCACCCAAGGAGTAGAAAGATCTGTATGCAAAAGCTATAAAACATTGATGAAAAAACTCAAGAAATAAACAAATAAATCGAAAGATATTCCATGTTCACGGATCAGAAGGATTAATGTTGTTAAAATGTCCATTCTATCCAAAGTGATTCAATGCAACCATTATCAAAAATCCAATGACATTTTTTTTTACAGAAATAGAAAAAACAGTCCTAAAATTCATGTGGAACCACAAAAGATCTCAAATAACCAAAGCCATCTAGAGGGAAAGGAACAAAGTTGGAAGCATCACATTACCTAAACACAAACTACATTACAAAGTTACAGTAATTAAAACAACACAGTACTTGCATAAAAACAGACACATAGACCAATGGAAGTGATTCATAGCCCAGGAAAAAAAATGCACGCATTTAGGGTCAAACAATTTTTGGGATGTATCAAGAACACACAATGGAGAAGGAACAGTCTCTTTAATAAATGGGATTGGGAGACATGCAGAAGAATGGAAGTGGACATTTGCCTCACAAAACATACAAAGTCAACTCAAGATAGATTAATGACTTAAATGTAAGATGAAAGACTATCATCCCAGCAATTTGGGAGGCCAAGGCGGGCAGATCACCTAAGGTCAGGATTCCAAGACCAGCATGGCCAACATGGTGAAATCCCGCCTCTACTAAAAATACAAAAACAGCTGGGTGTGGTTGTGGGTGCCTGTAATCTCAGCTACTCGGGAGGTTGAGACAGGAGAATCACTTGAACCCAGGAGGTAGAGGTTGCAGTGAGCCGAGATCGCACCACTGCACTCCAGCCGGGGCAACAGAGTGAGACTCCATCTTAAAAAAAAAAAAAACTACTAAAAGAAATCAAGGGAAAACTCCACTGGCTTGGGCAAAACCATTTTGGATATTAACCCAAAGGCCCAGGCAACAAAAGCAAAAGTAGACAAATAACATTATATCAAATTGAAAGTTTCTGCAAAGAAAAAAAAAAACTCAACAAGTGGAAAGACAACCTATGGAATGGGAGAATATATTTGCACCCATACATCTAATAAGGAATTAATATCCAAAATATATAAGAAACTCAAACAACTCAATGGTAAGAAATCAAATAACCCAACTTAAAAAAATGGGCAAAGTATCTGAATAAACATTTCTAAGAATAAGACAAATCACCAAAAGGTATATGAAAAAATGATTAGCATTACTAAACATCAGCTAAATAAAAATTAAAACTAGAATGAGATATCACCTCACACCTCTTAGAATGACCATTAACAGTCTGGGCATGGTGGCTCATGCCTGTAATTCAGGCACTTTGGGAGGCCGAGGCAGGGAGATTACCTGAGGTCAGCAGTTCGAAACCAGCCTGGCCAATATGGTGAAATCCCATCCCTACTAAAAATACAAAAATTAGCAGAGTTTGGTGGCGCACACTTGTAGTCCCAGCTACTCTGGAGACTGAGGCAGGGGAATCGCTTGAACCCAGGAGGCAGAGGTTGCAGTACACCGAGATTGTGCCACTGCACTCCAGCCTGGGTGACAGAGCAAGACTGAGTCTCAAAAAAAAAAAAAAAAAGACCATTATCAAAAACATAAAAAATAACAAGGGTTAACGAGGATGTGGAGAAAAGGGAACATTTGTATGCAGTTGATGGGAATGTAAATTAGCACAACCATTATGGAAAACAGTCTGGAAGTTCCTGAAAAAATTAAACATAGAATTCCCATATGTGTCTGCAATCCAACTACTGCGCATGTATCCAAAGGAAGTGGAATCAGTATGTTGAAGAGATATCTGCATTCCCATGTTTACAGCCGCATTATTCATAACAGCCAAGATGTGGAATCACCCTTACTGCCCATCTATGGGTGCATGGACAAAGAAAACGTGGTATACGATAGGAACGTAATGAAGTACTATACAACCTTTACAACAAAGAAGGAAGTCCTCTCATTTGTGACAATGTGAAAAAACTTAGAGGACATTATGTTAAGGGAAACAATCCAGGCACAGAAAGACAAATGCCACATGATCTCATGTGTGGAGTGTAAGAAGTGGAACCTAGAGGAACAGTAAAATGGTCGTCGAAAGAACCTGGGAAGGAGAGAGATTGAAGAGATGTTGGTCAAAGGATGCAAAATTTCAGTTAGAAGAAATCGGTTCAAGAGATCTATTGTATGTCTTGGTGACTCCATTTAATAGCAACATATGGTGTATTGAACATTACTAAGAGATTAGATTTTACATGTTCTCACCACACACACAAAACATACAAGTATGTGAAAAAATAAATAGATAAAGAGGTTGTTTCATCCATTCCACAATGTGTACCTATATGAAAACATCATGATGGACACCACAAATACCCTTTTCCTCATTAATTAAATTTGTTTTGGCTTTTTTTTTGAGACGCAGTTTCACTGTTGTTGCCCAAGCTGAGGTGCAATGGCGTGATCTCCGCTCACTGCAACCTCTGCCTCCCAGGTTCAAGCGGTTCTCCTGACTCAGCCTCCCAAGCAGCTGGGACTACAGTTGCGTACCACCCCGTCCGGCTATATTTGTGTTTCTAGTAGAGACAGGGTTTCGCCATGTTGGCCAGGCTGGTCTCGAACTCCAGACCTCAGGTGATCCACCCGCTTCGCCCTCCCAAAGTGCTAGATTTCAGGCTGAGACACCACACCCAGCCTGTACATTGACTTTCTGCCCTTAAACTGTGCTGAAGTTTGTTTCTCAGATGTAGGAGCCTTTGGGCAGAGACTATGGGGTTTCTAGGTATAGAAATTATCTCATCTTCAAACAGAGGTAATTTGACTACCTCTCTCTGCTACTCTCTTCTTACTTGGATGCCTTATAATTCTTTCTCTTTCCTGATGGCTCTGTCTAGGACTTCAAGTACTATGTTGAATAGGATGGTGAGAGTGGGCATTCTTGTCTTGTTTCACTTATGAAGGGAACTTCTTCCAGCTTTTACTCATTCAGTATGATGTTGGTTGTGGGTTTGTCATAGGCGGCTCTTATTATATTGAGTTATGTTTCTTCAATGCTTAGCTTGTTGAGGGCTTTTAACATGAAGAAATGCTTAGTAAAAAGTATGTTCTACATGTGTGTTGAGAAGATCATGTGGTTTTTGTTTTTAGTTTTGTTTAGGTGATGAATCACATGTATTGATTGTGTATGTTCAACCAACCTTGCACCCTAAGAATAAAGTTGACTTGATCATGGTGGATTCACTTTTTGATATGCTGCGGGATTCAGTTCTTAGTATTTTTTGTGGATTTTTGCATCTATGCTCATCAGGAATATTGGCATGTAGTTTTCTTTTGTTTAATATTCTTTTCTGTCTTTAGTATCAGGGTGATGCCAGCCTTATAGAATGAGTAAAGGCCACCCTGGGCAAACAGTGAGACCCATCCCTTTTTAAAAATTATGAGTTTTACAAATTTAAAATGCATAGTGAAAAAGTTCTTACAAACTCCAGAAAGGTAGGTGTAAATAAGAGACATTTGTAAGAATGACAGCACATTAAATGTGTAGATTTCAACCTTCAGTTATTGCAATATTCCAGTATCAAGTTGGAGGATGTTATCAGTCTGATATTTTTTCCTCAAATGAGAGAGAGAAAGAAAGACACACAAACAACACAGGGAGAAAAAAAGCACACGTTACAGAGAGACAAAAAGGGAGACAGGGAACTGTGAATTTGGACTCTTGTGTCATAAGACAAATTCTAGATAACACGACCAGACCTTCAATTGACATATTGTGTTTTTGCTAATAAGGTGGAATTCTATGATGCGAAATAACTATATAGTCTTTTCTACTGGGATTTAAATCATTTTATCTGTTTCTGGCTTAACAGGAAAAATACAACCATGGAAAATTATGATGATTTATTTAATACGATTGCTCTATAGTGTTAATAAAACCTATTAGGTATTTTGCATATTACATATCAAGGAGAGTTTGAATCTCAGGTAGAAACAAAAAAAAATACATCAAAAGTTCCTCATGTGAGTGCAGAATTCAATCGTCCCGTGCAGGGGTAAGTGAGTCTGAGATGTGTTTTGAGCCTGGCCGTTGCGCATGATGTGAACTGACAAGTCTAGTCTGCAGTTTTCAGAAACCCTCATTCCTCCCTTGACTGACTCACCACTTGAACCTCATATGACGTAGAAGAAGCCTACCTATGTCCCCTTCACATGTTGTGGTCAATGTGTCAACTGCACGATCCGGGCCCCTCACCACATCCTCTGCACCGGTCAGTCGAGCCGAGTCACTGCGTCCTGGCAGCAGAAGCTGCACCATGTCCATGTCACCCACGGTCATCATCCTGGCATGTCTTGGTGAGTCCTGGAAGGGAAGGAGCACCAGGGTTACACTATGGGCCTGCAGATTGGGTGTCTCCCCAGCAGAGAGCCATGTTCTGAAGCAAGTGAGTGGTGAGGATGAGTTAATTTTCAGTCCAGCGTGGCGCCCAGTGGCTCAGGAGGAAAGGGTAGGTTGGTGCCGAGATGAATAGTTCATCATGATCTTTCTTTGCAGGGTTCTTCTTGGACCAGAGTGTGTGGGCACACGTGGGTGAGTCCTTCCCCAAATGATGGGTTGCCATCTTCACCCCAATACAAGTGAATTTTCCGGAAATGGGAGGGAGGCAGCACAGAGGGTGGGCTGATGGGCTGACCATGGGAAGGCCTGGGGGGAGTCTCTCATGAACTAGTAAGAGGAGATCCTGGGAGTCTCTCATGAACTAGTAAGAGGAGATCCTGGGAGTCTCTCATGAACTAGTAAGAGGAGATCCTGGGAGTCTCTCATGAACTAGTAAGAGGAGATCCTGGGAGTCTCTCATGAACTAGTAAGAGGAGATCCTGGTATGCTCAGCCCTCTGTTTTGTCTTAGCCCTCCCCAGCCTTTCTTCCCCATGGCTGAGTTGAGCTCTGTGTGGCCCAGGCGGGATACTGAGGTGCTCAAAGCTGGGGTGTGTGGGGGGATGTGGTGTCACCGACAGAGGAGGGAAGGGTAGCAGTGTTAGGAACAGCAGGTCCTCTGAGGACAAGAGGGTAACTCACACCCTCCAGCGTTTCCATGACGGTAGGGGCTGCAGTGTGGCTGCTGTCATTCTGCCAGAAGAGGTGGGGGAACCACAGCCACGACCCTGCCATTCCAAATCCTCTGATGGAGCTCAGTTGTTTATTGTGGTTCAGGCATTAGCTAATATTCCATTCACAAAGGTCATACCCTCCACCCCATGTCTACTTTGTGTTGTTTGGTGTAACTAATCTTGCAGTATTAAAATCTAGTAAGAGTCCCTTACTCAGCACCTGCTCAGTTCTCAACTGACACTTTTGTTGTAGGGAGACGCCACGTCTATGCGGGATGGGTCCTTCCTGTAGCCCCAGGCACCCAGGTGTGGTAGGAGCCTTAGAAAGAAGAAATGAGGAGAATCTTCTGAGCACAGGGAGGGAGGGGCAGCTCAACATACTCCTCTCTGAGGCGGCATCTCCTTCTCCCCAAGGTGGTCAGGACAAGCCCTTCTGCTCTGCCTGGCCCAGCGCTGTGGTGCCTCAAGGAGGACACGTGACTCTTCGGTGTCACTATCGTCGTGGGTTTAACATCTTCACGCTGTACAAGAAAGATGGGGTCCCTGTCCCTGAGCTCTACAACAGAATATTCTGGAACAGTTTCCTCATTAGCCCTGTGACCCCAGCACACGCAGGGACCTACAGATGTCGAGGTTTTCACCCGCACTCCCCCACTGAGTGGTCGGCACCCAGCAACCCCCTGGTGATCATGGTCACAGGTCAGAGGGCTCCTGTCTGGGCTTCTCCTTGTCCCACCTCCTGAGTCCCAGAGCTTCTGGTGGGGGTGTCCACCAGAGTCCGATCATCCAGGCCCCAACTATATTTGGGGTAAAGGGGGATTGAATACAGGGGAATGGGTGCTGTGTTGGAAAGAATAAGTGTCCCCATCGATGGCCACATTGTAATCCTTGGAGCCTGTGACTATGTTATAGGGCAGGGGACTGAAGGGGAAGATGGAGCTCAGGTTGTTGATGAGTTGACCTTGAGATGGGGAGATGGCCTGGACTCTCCCACTGGGCTCAGTGTAATCACAAGGGTCCATATGAGTGGAGAAGGAAGAGGAGAATGGGGATTAGAGCAGCATCGTGGGATACTCCACCAGCCACTGTGGGCTTTGAAGGTGGAGGAAGACCACGAGCCACGAAGGGGCTGGAGAAATCAATGGAACTGATTCTCCCGAGTCTCCAGAGGGAATGCAGCCCTGCAGATGCCTTGATTGTAGCCCAGGAAGAACAGGGTCTGATTTCTGTCTCCAGAAGTGGAAGGGGTCAGTGTGTTCTCTCCTGTCGCCATGTTTGTGATAATTTTCTCCAGCAACAACAGGAAACCAACACAGGAACCCAGGTGAAGGACAAGTTAAAAAACCAAACAAGAAGGTTGGCTACCCTGAGATCAGCAAGGGTGCACTGCTGATGCCACCACCAGGCTGGAACCACATAGGGAGGGATCGACAGGAAGAGTTGGGGGTGGAGGGTGAGAGAGAGAGAGAGAGCACTAGGCCATAGAGCAGGGCAGTGAGTTCTCAGCTCAGGTGGGAGGGGAGCTGTGACAAGGAAGAACCTCCCTGAGGAAACTGCCTCTTCTCCTTCCAGGTCTATATGAGAAACCTTCGCTTACAGCCCGGCCGGGCCCCACGGTTCGCACAGGAGAGAACGTGACCTTGTCCTGCAGCTCCCAGAGCTCCTTTGACATCTACCATCTATCCAGGGAGGGGGAAGCCCATGAACTTAGGCTCCCTGCAGTGCCCAGCATCAATGGAACATTCCAGGCCGACTTCCCTCTGGGTCCTGCCACCCACGGAGAGACCTACAGATGCTTCGGCTCTTTCCATGGATCTCCCTACGAGTGGTCAGACGCGAGTGACCCACTGCCTGTTTCTGTCACAGGTGAGGAAAGCCAATGTCTGTCCCATGTCCTATGGTCCTAGAGCCTTAGCTGAGGAGCTTCCTGCTGATGATGGAGAGAAGCATGGACAGATGTGGAGAGAAGATGCAGCATGGTGTGAGGGTGGGATCAGGGCACAGGATGGCAGACAGGGCACCTCCAAACCCTCCTGCATGGCCTGCATGGAAGCTTGCAGTAAGGGCTCCGGGTACCCAGGCAGATGGAGAAAGTGGTCAGGACAGACCCAGAGGAGGGAGACTGGGCTCAGTTTGGGGAGATCAGAGGTTCCCTCAGCCCCTCAACCTTACCCATTTCCCAGAAGCCCACCCTGGCCTCTCACCTACACAGAGATGTCATCACCAGCAACCCCTACACTTTTTCTTTTCCTTTGAAAAAATGCTGATTGAGGTTAAATATACCTATATAATTTATCAACTTTACCATTTTTAAGTGTAAAATCTAGGGATCATAAATACCTTTATATGCTGTGTGCGGTGGCTCACGCCTGTAATCTCAGCATTTTGAGACGCCAAGGCAGGTGGATCATTTAAAATCAGGGGCTGGAGACCAGCCCGGCCAACATGGGGGAACCAATCTTTACTAAAAAGACAAAAAAAATAAAATTAGCCAGGCATGGTGCCAGGCGCCTATAATCCCAGCAACTTGGGAGGCTGAGGCGGGAGAGTGGCTTAAACCCAGGAGGAGGAGGTTGCAGTGAGCTGAGATCATGCCACTGCACTGCAGCCTGGTGACACAGAGAGACTCTGTCTCTAAATAAATAAATAAATAAATACTTTTATATTCTTCTTTTGTTACCCTCCACCCCTTCCTTCCTAACCTCTGGTATCCACCATTCTACTCTCTACCTTCATGAGGTCCACCTTTTACATCCTGCATGTGAGTAAGAAATGGCAATCCTTGTAATGACCTCTAGTCCATCCATGTGGCTGCAAATGACAGGACGTTACTCTTTCTATGGATGAGTTGTCTCCATTGTGTGTATGTACTACATTCTCTCTATCCATTCATCCACTGATGGGCAGGTAGGTTGACTCCACATCTTGGCTACTGTGAACAGTGCTGGAACAGTCATGGGAGTGCAGATGTCACTTCAATACACTGAAGTCCTTTTCTTTGCATTTACACCCACTAGTGGAATTGCTAGATCCTCTGGATGTTCTCTTTTTAGGTTTTGTTTTATGCTTTTTGTTTTTTTGACATAGCGTTTCACTCTTGTTGCCCAAGCTGGAGTGCAATGGCACCACCTGGGCTCACTGCAACCTCTACCTCCAGGATTCAAGTGATTCTCCAGCCTCAGCCTCCCGAGTAGTTGGGATTACTGGTGCCCGCCACCAAGCCTGGCTGATTTTTGTATTTTTAGTAGAGACGGGGTTTCACCATGTTAGCCAGGCTGGTCTCGAACTCTTGACCTCCAGTGATCTGCCCACTTCAGCCTCCCAAGGTGCTGGGATTACAAGCGTGAGCCACAGTGCCTAATCTCTTTTCAGTTTTTAAGGAACTTCCATATTCTTCTCCTCTGTAATGGCTGTATTAATTTACATTCCTATCAACAGTGTATCAGGGTTCTCCTTTCTCCACCACCTTGCCAACATTTGTTTTGTCTGTCTCTGAGATAAAACCCATTGTAATGGGGTGAGATGATAGCTCATTGTGACTTCATTTGCATTTCTCTGATGATTAGTGATACTGAGCACTTTTTCATATATGCAATGTATATATGTTCATTTGTATGTTTTGTTCATTGAGAAATGTCTGTTCAGGTCTTTTACTAATTTTATAATTAAATTATTAGTTTTATTGAGGTGTTTGAGCTTCTTTTATATTCTAGTTATTAATCCCATCTCAGATGCATAGTTTGCAAATATTTGCTCCCATTCTGTGGGTTTTCTCTTCTTCACTTCATTGGTTGCTTCCTTTGCGGTGCAGAAGCTGCTTGATTTGATATAATCCCAATGGTCTATTTTTTTTGTTGTTGTTGTGATTACTTGTGTTTTTGAGGTTTTAAACAAAATGTCTTCCCTCAGACAAATGTCCTGGAGCATTTCTCCAGTGTTTCCTTTTAGACATTTAATGGATTCAGGTCTTAAGTCATTAATCCATTTTCATCTGATTTTTGTGTATGGTGAGAGGTAGAGGTGCAGTTTCATCCCTCTGCATGTAGATATCCAGTTTTCCCTGCACCATTTATTGAAATGACTGTCCTTTCCAGATTGTAGATTCTTCGAACCTTTGTCAAAGTCCATTGGATGTAAATGGGTGGATTACATCCGTGTTCTTCATTCTGCTTCATTGTTTTATGTGCTTTTCTTTATGCCAATGTCATGTTGTTTTGCTTACTACAGCTCTGTAACATATTTTTAAGTCAGGTAGTGTGATGCTCCTGTTTTCTCCTTATACCTTGAAGTCTCAAGATAGTTGGTGTCACCTACAATGATTATGGAGAATGGGATGCCAGGACTCCCAGGGCCCAACATTAGATAATAGAAGGTTGGCCATGAACCAACCTCAAAGATTTCCATTGAGTAGAAAAGACAGGCATCCTCATTGCCACACCTCTCTCCTGTCCCATGTTCTAGGAAACCCTTCTAGTAGTTGGCCTTCACCCACTGAACCAAGCTTCAAAACTGGTAAGTGAAGGACCCCTCTTATCTCTGCTTTTGGAAACCTGGGGAGGTAGAAGCCTTGGATTCAAGCGTTGGCTCAGCACCTGCCAGCTCTGTGATTGTGGGCCTGTCTTCCATTGTCTCTGAACCCCAGACACTCCAACAGCGAAAGGGATCTGGGCCCAGCACAGGGCTCAGTGAAATCTCTTAATCTCTAATTTTCTGCTGCTGAGACCTCAGGGTAGAAGGATGAGTGCAAATCAGACATTCTTCTCAGGAAAAATGCTGTGTTTGTTCTGCCTGCATTCCTAACTGGGAGGACAAATGCCTGGGGGCTTGAGAAGGGGAAGGAAGGGGAACATTTTTGAGGGTGGTGTGTTTGTAGAGAAGTTCTACTTGCCAAGGAATGAGCTCCTGTCTGTCATGATCCAACCCTGGTTGACTTAGTGGAACAAGAGCTTTGCGGTAAGAGAGAACGTAGTTCATCCGTGCACATGACACTTCCACTTACTCGTTCAGCCACTGCCCCATGCTCAGACTGTGCAGTGTGGAACTTTTTCCTATGTTGCCATAACAAATTTCCACAAGCTTCGTGGATGGAAACCACATTTTTAAAAAATATCTCATGGTGCTGTAGCTCAGAAGTATGAAATGCATCATCTCACTGGGCTAAAATCAAGGTGACAGCAAGGCTGCCTTCCCTCTGAATGTTCCAGGCAAGAATCTGCTTCCTCACTTTTCCCAGCTCCTAGAGGCTCCCACATTCCTTGGCTCCTGGTCCCCGTCTTCCTCCCTCAAAGTCCACAAAGGCTGGTCACGCCTCTCACACGGCATCACTCAGACCCTTCTTCCTTGTCCACACCTCTTTCTCTGAATGCTGCTCTGCCTTCTTCCTCATCTTTTAAGGACTTTGGCATTCTATTGGAAACACCAAGATAATCCATCATAATTTCCCTAAAATCATCTAGGATACCCTCCTTTTAAGGTTAGCTGATTAGCAACCGTAATTCCATCTGCAATCTGCATTCCTTTTTTCCATGTAAAATAACATATTCACAAGATATGGCGACTAGGACAGGAACATTTTGGGGTGGGGCGGCATTCTTATCCTTTCCACAAATGGTAAACAAGGTGCATTTGGCCTCTGCTCTTGGACACTGATATTGCAAAGGATTAAATGGGAGGGCAGAAAATGAATACACCAGTGGACCAATAAATGAATGATCCATTGGGAAGCATCTGTGCATGAGAATGATTGATTGATTGGTTGTTTTTATGAGACGGTGTCTCCCTCTGTGCCCCAGGCTGGAGTGCAGTGGCGGGATCTCGGCTCACCGCAACCTCCACCTCCCAGGTTAAAGCGATTCTCTACACTCAGCTTCCCGAGAGGCTGGGATTACACCCATGTCCCACCACGCCTGGCTAATTTTTTTTTGGTATTTTTTTTTTAGTACAGACAAGGTTTTACCATGTTGCCCAGGCTATCTCAAACTCCCAACCTTAAGGGATCCGCCCGTCTCAGCCTCCCAAAGTGCTGAGATTAGAGGCGTGAGCCAAGGCGCCGAGCCGTATTTTAAAAGAAATAATAGATAATGCTGAGTGTATAATTTCGGGTGACAGAGAAGTTCTCACTGATCAAATAATACTTGTGACCTTAATGAAAAAAATAGATCAACCCCTGGAAGATTGGCGGAAGGATTTTCCACACAGCTGTCAGCCGTGAAGGCACAAAGGTGAAAACAATGTTATGTGGAAGGAAGAGGCTCTGCCTGAAATGCTGGGAATGACATGGGGAGAATGACAAGACGACTGTGGAGAGACAGAGAGCACTCTGGGTACACAGGAAACTAAGGAGGAACAAGGAGCGTGTGTTTGATACTCACAGCCATTGGACTTACCTCGGGGCTAACTGGGAATCCCTACATGATGAATAGTGACTGACATGAAAATAAGGGAGGCCCAGGTGCATAACTGGAATCTAGGAGACTGTGGAAAAGGCAATTCCCGCCCCCCTGGTGAAATGTGGTGCTGATTTAGACACTAAATGAATGAAAGATGGACACAAGATGTGTTTGTGAGGTAGAGTAATTTGCAGGGAGGGCTTGCCTGGTTTGATTTTTCCTAATTGTTTAATCTTCACTTCATTGATTTCTTTCTGAGATTTATTTTTCCTACATGTAAATCAATACTTGGCAGAGGAGTGAGAGATACATGAGGGGTGGTGCAAAGGAAGAGACCTATTATAATATAACACACAAGGTTCTGAACGGTGGCTCACACCTGTAACCCAACATTTTGGGAGGCTGAGGAGGCTGGATCAAGTGAGATCAGGAGTTCGAGATCAGCCTGGACAACATGGTGAAACCCCATCTCTACTAAATATACAAAAACTAGCTGGGGGTGGTGGCGCGTGCCTGTAATACCAGCTATTCGGGAAGTTGAAGAAGGAGAATGGCTTCAACCAGGGAGGGAGAGGTTACAGTGAGCCAAGATCGCGTCATTGCACTGCACCCTAGGTGACAGAGTGAGACTCCATGGCAAAAAATAAAAATAAAGAATACATAAATATAATATAACATACACGAATGACAAAGGCACACCAATTCCAATCATCATTTTTCTATTTCTCTATAATGACTTCTTTGATCCTTTATCCTATCCGTAAGAAAATCAGGCGAAAACATCTTCCTTATTTGGCTTTCTGTGAGCATGAGATCATATGGAAAATGTGAAACCCACCAGCGCAGGTCCTGGAATAGACAACGTGATCTGTTCATGGCACAAAACTTGCCCCTTCACCCAAATCCCCCACCTCACCCCTACTTCCAATCACATTAATGATACAGATAGATCATGGGGAGGTAAAAACTAATATTCTTTGGAGTTCAGATCGTAGACTCAGAGACCAGTGCCAGCACTATCTCCTGGTCACCTTTTGGAGTAATTCACAGAAAGACAGGCTGTATTGAAGCAACAGATGATGGAGGGGGTGGTCTTTCCCCCAGACTCTCGGGTGGAACAGCAGCCTAATATCTGACTCCCAAGATGACAAAAGTAGCATGTTGCCCACGAGCTTCATCATTATTTCCTGGCTGTTTGATATAAGACAGCTCAACCTCACTTATGTTGATTTCAATGTCACTGTTTTTTCCTTTTCTTGGAGAATGTAATTTGTTTGAGTCAAGAGGGTTGTGGATGTAGAAACTGTAAAGCACATTCACTGTGTATCAATCCCAGTCCAGTCTTCCCAGAGAAGACTCTAAACACCTCCCATACTGCACCTGGGGCTGTGCCAATTTCTATCACTCACCATCACTCCAGGGAGACAGAACACACAGGGAATACATTACATAGGCAGGTTCATTACTTATAGATAAGCAGCGAGTGACAACAGAAACCTTCCTTTCAGGGTGAGCCAGTCCCTCAAGGCTCAGAAAAACTGCTCAGGACACATGGAGTCACTTCATGTGCACTGTAGCTGGGGGAAGCCAGAAAGCAGCCCAGCCTGGGTTTTGTACCCTGGAGCCACAGGGAACACTCAGCTAAAGCACTGCATGATGTTCTCCTCCAGGAAGAACAGGAAGACAGCCCAGGCTGTTCTGAGACGTTCCTCCTGATCTCAGGATGTTGCTGTCTTAGCCTATTTTTGTTGCTATAAAAGAACACTTGAGCCTGGGTATCTTCTAAAGAAAAGAGATGTGTTTGGCTCACTGATCTGCACGCTGTACTAGAAGCAGGACACTACCATCTATTTCTGGCTGCGGCCTCAGGCTGCTCCCACACTGACAGAAGAGAAGGGGGTCCTGCGTGTGCAGAGACCACAGAGATCACATGGCAAGAGAGGGAGAAAGGGGGTGTGATGGAGCTTCCAAGCTCTTTTTAAGAATCAACTCTCCAGGGTACTAATAGAGGGAGAACTTGCTAACCCCGTCCTCTGGGGACAGCATTAATCTATTCATGATGGATCCACCCCCATGACCAAAACACCCCTCCCAATAGGCACAACCTCCCACACTGGGGATTAAATTTCAAAGTGGGGTTTGGAGGGGTCAAACATTGAAACAATAGCAGTTGTATCATCAGCACATTCTATTGTTATTATGAAAACTATAACGGAGAAAGCAGGAGAAAGCTGGGTCTCCCGCCTCGTGGGTGCTTGTCCTAAAGAGGTGTTTTATGTGGTTGCCTGGCAACCAAGAAATGAGAGACAATCCACAAAGAGGAACTGCTATGGTTAGCTTCTTATTGGATTCTCATCTTCCTCCAGGTATCGCCAGACACCTGCATGCTGTGATTAGGTACTCAGTGGCCATCATCCTCTTCACCATCCTTCCCTTCTTTCTCCTTCATCGCTGGTGCTCCAAAAAAAAAAGTAAGCCTCACGAAGCAGAGGCCAGAGAACTCAGGGCCCTGTGCGGAAGCAGGATGGGAGCACGCAGGTGTGTGTTCCTCACTGGCAGGAAAGTCTCTGGCCCAAGGCAGGAGCCAGAGGCAGAGCTTTCTAGAGAGAGCACCAGACACCCTGCCCCTGCCTTCAGCTCACAGACCATTGCCTGATTGTGAACTGTATCCTCACGTCCCCTGCAGCCACTCACATCCAGGAGAAGATTCCATGACAGGCAGAAAGTGGGAGATAGAATCAATGGGATGGGAACTGACAGCTATTCATGGAATGGGGTCTTGCACTCAGAGAGATGGAATGTCTGAGTCTGGCTGTTGGCAGCTGAGGGACCTCAGGCACCTATGGCCTCCCCCTGTGTGTTGGTATCTGTTCATGAAATGAGGACCCAGAAGTGCCCTCCCAGCTGTTTCGATTGCTTCCGTCTCCTACAGATGCTGCTGTAATGAACCAAGAGCCTGCGGGACACAGAACAGTGAACAGGGAGGTAGGTCCTCCTAGCCCAGCCTCATGGATACAGTCTTATTCCCTAATAGTCCTGAAAAATGTGAACACCCTCCCTCACTCAGGATTTCCCTCTCTCCAGGACTCTGATGAACAAGACCCTCAGGAGGTGACATACGCACAGTTGGATCACTGCATTTTCACACAGAGAAAAATCACTGGCCCTTCTCAGAGGAGCAAGAGACCCTCAACAGATACCAGCGTGTGTATAGAACTTCCAAATGCTGAGCCCAGAGCGTTGTCTCCTGCCCATGAGCACCACAGTCAGGCCTTGATGGGATCTTCTAGGGAGACAACAGCCCTGTCTCAAACCCAGCTTGCCAGCTCTAATGTACCAGCAGCTGGAATCTGAAGGCGTGAGTCTCCATCTTAGAGCATCACTCTTCCTCACACCACAAATCTGGTGCCTGTCTCTTGCTTACCAATGTCTAAGGTCCCCACTGCCTGCTGCAGAGAAAACACACTCCTTTGCTTAGCCCACAATTCTCTATTTCACTTGACCCCTGCCCACCTCTCCAACCTAACTGGCTTACTTCCTAGTCTACTTGAGGCTGCAATCACACTGAGGAACTCACAATTCCAAACATACAAGAGGCTCTCTCTTAACACGGCACTTAGACACGTGCTGTTCCACCTTCCCTCGTGCTGTTCCACCTTTCCTCAGACTATTTTTCAGCCTTCTGGCATCAGCAAACCTTATAAAATTTTTTTGATTTCAGTGTAGTTCTCTCCTCTTCAAATAAACATGTCTGCCTTCATTCTTTAGGTGACTCTTTTTTTGGCTGAAAGTTTCCAGTGTTATCATTACCATGTCCAAATAACTCCAACTGTTCTCCACTGGGTTCTCACCCCTGGACTCTGAGCTTCTGGAAGCAGGGTGGAGCCTGATTTGTCTCTGAGACTCCAATTTCCATCCAAAGATGCAGCACATAAGAGGTTCCAAGGATCGTGAATCACATGAACAAGTGATATTCTTACTCTCTGCAGACCTGGAAAGCTGGCAGAGTCATTCCATGATGAAACATTTGTAGAGTCATAGGCCTTGTTAGTCTCATCTCCACGGGGACACATATCAACACATCATCTTTCATACTATAAATATACAGTCGGTCCTCTGTATCTGTGGGATTTACAGGTGTTTATTGAACCAAATATAAATCAAAAATATTCAGAGAAAAAATCCACAAAGTTTCAAAAAGCAAAACTATGTTGAATGGACACAAATGAAGCTGTGTGTAGGCTGTATCAGGAATTATAAATAATCAAGGGATGATTTCATGTACACAGGAGGATGTGCATGGGTTATTTGCAAATGCTGTGCCATTTCATGTAAGAGGCTTGAGCGTCTGCAGATTGTGCTATCTGAGTGGAGATCCTGAAACCAATCACCCACGAATAGTGAGGGATGACTGTATATAATTTTTATTTCTCAATTTTAAATATAAAACATAAAAAAATTACAATAACAAGATAAAATAAACAAGTGTTTTATAGTGTGAGAATACGTTTAGATATATTTTTCTCTATGTGTAACCCTTGGGCCCATGTTATTTATTGAGAAGACATTCTATTCCACCTTAAACCACATGGCAGCCTTTGTCAACTATAAAGCGACTGTGTGTACACGGATGTATTTTAGACACTGTTTTCTGCTCAGTGGCTCTCTCTCTGTCCACTCTCTTGAGAATGCTGCATTTTATGCAGCCTTATACAACCCCTAAAATTTGGTAGCTGGAGTCCTCTAGTTATTTATTATAGGCTATTTGCTATGCTTTTTTTATTTTTCTTGAGGCAGAGTCTCGCTCTGTTGCCCAGGCTGGAGTGCAGTGGCACGATCTCGGCTCACTGCAACTTCCGCCTCCCAGGTTCAAGGGATTCCGTGCCTCAGCCTCTTGAATAGCTGGCATTACAAGTGCCTGCTACCAGGCATGGCTAATTTTTGTATTTTTAGCAGAGACATGGTTTCACTATATTGGCCAGGCTGGTCTCAAACTCCTGACCTCGGTTGATCACTCACCTCGGCTTCCAAAGTGCTGGGGAAATTGATTTTCTATAGCATTATGTTACTGGATATTTCTGTAAAATTTAAAATGAGGGAGGCAGAGAGACAGAGAGAGAGCAAACCATGAGTTGGAACTCTGGAATCTTGGGACATGAGACAAATTCTAGATAAATCTACAAAAATCCAGAATTTACATGTTGTGATTTTTGCTGATAAAGTACAATTCTAAGATTGTAAATAATTGCATAATCCTTCCCTGGGAGTTTAAATCATTTGAACTGGTTCTGCTGTAATACTAGAAATACAATCATGAAAAATTCTAATGGTTTATTAGTCACAATTGCTCTGAAAACCTTAATAATACCTATTAGATATTTTGCATATTACACAGGAAGAAGAGTTTGAATCTCAGATAAAAGCAATAAAAATACATGAAAAGTCTTTCATGTTAGCACAGATTTTAGGCATCTCGTGTTCGGGAGGTTGGATCTGAGACGTGTTTTGAGTTGGTCATAGTGAAGGACGCGAGGTGTCAATTCTAGTGAGAGCAATTTCCAGGAAGCCATGCTCCGCTCTTGAGCGAGCACCCACTGGGCCTCATGCAAGGTAGAAAGAGCCTGCGTACGTCACCCTCCCATGATGTGGTCAACATGTAAACTGCATGGGCAGGGCGCCAAATAACATCCTGTGCGCTGCTGAGCTGAGCTGGGGCGCAGCCGCCTGTCTGCACCGGCAGCACCATGTTGCTCATGGTCGTCAGCATGGCGTGTGTTGGTGAGTCCTGGAAGGGAATCGAGGGAGGGAGTGCGGGGATGGAGATCTGGACCTGGAGGTAAAGATATGGGCCTAGAGGTGGAGTTATGGGCCTGGAGGTGGAGTTATGGGCCTGAAGTGGAGATCTGGTCCTGGAGTGGAGATCTGGGCCTGGAGTGGAGATAGGGGCCTGGGGTGGAGATATGTGCCTGGAGTGGAGATCTGGGCCTGGAGTGGAGATATGGGCCTGGGGTGGAGATATGTGCCTGGGGTGGAGATATGGGCCTGGAGGGGAGATATGGGCCTGGAGGGGAGATGTGGGCCTAGAGGTGGAGTGATGGGCCTAGAAGTGGAGCGATGGGCCTGGAGTGGAGATATGGGCCTGGAGGTGGAGTTATGGGCCTGCAGTAGAGATATGGGCCTGAAGTGGAGATATGGGCCTGGAGTGGAGATATGAGCCTAGAGGTGGAGTTATGGGCCCGGAGGTGGAGTTAAGGGCATGAAGTGGAGATCTGGGCCTGGAGTGGAGATATGATCCTGGAGTGGAGATATGGGCCTGGGGTGGAGATACGGGCCTGGAGCAGACATACAAGCCTGGAAAGGAGATATGGGCCTGGAGAGGAGATAGAAGCCTGGAGTGGAAATATGGGCCTGGAGTGGAGATATGAGCCTGGAGTGGATATATGAGCCTGGAGTTGAGATAGGAGCCTGGAGTGGAGATATGGGCCTGGAGTGGACTTATCAGCCTGGAGAGGAGATATGGGTCTGGAGTGGAGATACGGACCTGGAGTGGAGATCTGGGCCTGTTGTGTAGATCTAGGCCTGGAGGTAGAGATCTGGGCCTGGAGGCTGAGTCTCTGCACAGCCGAGATCCTTGTTCCTGGGGGCAGGTAGGCAGCGAGGGTGAGTTTACCTTCAGCCCAGCAAGGGCCTGGCTGCCAAGACGCACAGCCCAGTGGGGGCAGCAGGGTGCCCTGGTTTGCCTGCAGATGGATGGTCCATCAGGATCTTTCTTTCTAGGGTTCTTCTTGGTCCAGAGGGCCGGTCCACACATGGGTGAGTCCTTCCCCAAACCTTAGGGTGTCATCTCCCCACATAAGAGGATTTTCCTGAAATGGGAGGGAAGTCCTGTCGGGGAGTCTCTCATACACTAGGAAGAGGGGACCCTCGGATGCTCGGCCCACATTTCTGACCTTGCCCTCCCCGGCCTTTCTTTCCCTTTCCTGAGTCAAGCTCTGTGAAGACTGGGGTGAGACTAGGGTGCTCCAAGATGGGTGTGCAGGGAGGAAGTGGTGTCAGCAGCAGAGAAAGAGAGGGAAGCAGTGCTAGGAACAGCAGGTCCTCTGAGGACAAAGGTGTAACTCACACCCTCCAGCGTTTCCGTGATGGTAGGGGCTGCAGTGTGGCTGCGGTCTTTCTACCAGAAAAGGTGAGGAAACCACAGCCATGGCCCTGACATTCCAAATCCTCTGATGGGGGCTCAGTTCATCAATTGGCTGATATTCCATTCACATAGGACTTGCCCTCCATGCCGTGTCTACTTTGTGTTGTTTTATATGAGTAATTTTGCAGTATTAAAATCTAGTAAGAGTTGCTTCTCCAGCACTTGCTCAAAGTTCTCAGCTGACACTTGTTGTAGGGAGACGCCATGTCTATGCAGGATGGGTCCTTCCTGTAGCCCTGGGCACCCAGGTGTGGTAGGAGCCTTAGAAAGTGGAAATGGGGAGAATCTTCTGGGCACTGGGAGTGAGGGGCGGCTCCACATCCTCCTCTCTAAGGCAGTGCCTCCTTCTCCCCCAGGTGGTCAGGACAAGCCCTTCCTGTCTGCCTGGCCCAGCGCTGTGGTGCCTCGAGGAGGACACGTGACTCTTCGGTGTCACTATCGTCATAGGTTTAACAATTTCATGCTATACAAAGAAGACAGAATCCACGTTCCCATCTTCCATGGCAGAATATTCCAGGAGGGCTTCAACATGAGCCCTGTGACCACAGCACATGCAGGGAACTACACATGTCGGGGTTCACACCCACACTCCCCCACTGGGTGGTCGGCACCCAGCAACCCCATGGTGATCATGGTCACAGGTCAGAGGCTTTCCGTCTGGGCTTCTCACTGTCCCACCTCCTGAATCCCAGAGCTTCTGGTGGGGCTGTCCGTCAGGGTCCCATCACCCAGGCCCTGGCTGTATTTGGGGTCAAGGGAGATTGAATACAGGGGAAATGGGTGCTGTGGTGGGAAGAATAACTGTCCCCAATGATGGCTACATTGTAATCCCTGGAGCCTGTGACTATTTATGTTATAGGGCAGGGGACTGAAGGGGAAGGTGGAGCTCAGGTTGTTGATGAGTTGACCTTGAGATGGGGAGACAGCCTGGACTGTCCCACTGGGCTCAGTGTAATCACAAGGGTCCACATGAGAGGTGGAGGAAGAGGGGAGTGGGGATTAGAGCAGTGTAGTGGGAGGGAGACGCTATCAGCCACTGCGGGCTTTGAAAGTGGAGGAAGACCACTAGTCACAGAATGCAGGTGGCCTCTAAGGGCTGGAGAAGTCAGGAGAACTGATTCGCTGATTCTCCAGAGGGAACGCAGCCCTGTAGACGCCTTGATTTCAGCACAGGGAGAACTGGATCCAATTTCTGTCTCCAGAAGTGGAAGGGGTCAGTGTGTTCTCTCCTGCTGCCATGTTTGTGGTAATTTTCTGCAGCAGCAACAGGAAACCAACACAGGAACCCAGGTCAAGGACAAGTTAGGAACCCAGGTCAAGGACAAGTTAGGAAACCAAACAAGGACAGCCAGGTGTGGTGGTGGGCGCGAGTAATCCAACGACTGGGGAGGCTGAGGCAAGAGAATCACTTGAACTGGGGAGGCAGAGGTTTCAGTGAGCCAAGACAACACCACTACACTCCAGCCTGGGTGAAAAAGTGACTGTCTCAAAAATAAATTAATTAATCAATTAATTAAAGAAACCAAACAAGGAGAAGGTTGGCTACCCTGAGATCAGCAAGGGCAGGATGCTGATGCTACCACCAGGCTCCATCCACATAGGAAGGGGTTGATGCTCCTGGAACCAGCACCAGGGGCCACCCTATGGAAGCTGGGGCCATGGAGAAGGCACACATATGGCAGGAGAGGCTCCCAATCCCCATCAGGAACAGGGTGTGTGGTCACTGATGTCTGTCTTACTGATGAGTTGATACCACCTGCCAGAGACTCCAATTTGTTCAAAAGAGATTGATTCAGGCTGCTAAGAGCCTGGACATGCAGCCTGTCCTCTTCCACCCCCATATAAACAGCAGGAAAGAGATTAGTGGGAAACAGATACAACAGCCCAAGAGATGAGGCTGTCTTCACAGTGGCAAGGGAGTCAGGGGCTACTGGAGACAGAGGGACAGAGAAGAGGGAGGAAGACAGATGGAGGCACCTGCACCAGGGGATATGGGCACAGAAAAGACACGGAGATGCAGAGAGGGAGGAGAGAGACAGACACGGGGAGGGGAACCCTCACTCATTCCAGGTGCCATGGATGGGATGATAAAGAGAGATGCCTTCTAAACTCACAACTTCTCTTTCTAGGAAACCACAGAAAACCTTCCCTCCTGGCCCACCCAGGTCCCCTGGTGAAATCAGGAGAGAGAGTCATCCTGCAATGTTGGTCAGATATCATGTTTGAGCACTTCTTTCTGCACAAAGAGGGGATCTCTAAGGACCCCTCACGCCTCGTTGGACAGATCCATGATGGGGTCTCCAAGGCCAATTTCTCCATCGGTTCCATGATGCGTGCCCTTGCAGGGACCTACAGATGCTACGGTTCTGTTACTCACACCCCCTATCAGTTGTCAGCTCCCAGTGATCCCCTGGACATCGTGGTCACAGGTGAGAGTGTCTAGACATTGTTCTCATTGTCACTGGGACACAGAGTGAATGATCCAGGACTTGGAACCCCCAGGTGGTCATGAGGAAGATAAGTGTGGGATTCTTATGGAAAGAGAGTGACTTGGTGAGGTCTGTACCAACAGAGACAGAGAAACAGGAGACATAAGTACAGAACAGGTGTCATAACAGGGGACAGACACAGGGGCCATACAGGGAGGTAGAAAAGAGAGAAAGAGGTAAAGGAGACACTCAGACAGACAGACATGTCCCAGAGAGAGGTGTCCTTCCATGCTGACTTTGCTCAGAGACCTGGCACAGGTTAGAAGTTTCATTTCTGTTTTACCTCCACAAAGTGTTTCTACCAGAAGAACCCAAGGACACCCATATTTCTGACCTGAGTTGGGCCCTGTGGCCTCAGGCCTTGTGCCACCTACAGATGCCGTGTTTATTCTGACACCTCTGCCTTCCATGCAATGGAGAGTAATCATCCCAGGATATCATGGCCCCAGAACACCAACCCCTGTATGCTGTGTGAACTTGGGGTCCCCAGACTGGATTCTGAGGCTCATATTCCAAATAATCCCACATATGATAGGATCGCTGAGAGACACAGAGAAAAATCAGGGACACCAAAAAGCAAAGACATAAACACACACAAAATGAGCCAGAAGAAGGAGATTAAGAGATTCACAGACACATAAAAAGAAAGAAAAGAGGGCAGAGTGGAGAGAATGATGGAAAGGAGGAGAGAAAAGCCCCAAAATCAGAACCCTGAGGGAGGGACACAAAGACAGAGAAAGATAAAGATGTGGGGATGGATTGCAGAGATTCCAAATAGAACTAGAGAGACTGAGAGGCAGAGAAAGACAAGGAGACGGAGAGAGAGAGATGATAGATGGATAGATAGACGTAGATAGATGATAAATAGGTAGATGATAGATAATGGATTGGTTATAGATACATAGATGATGACTGATAGATGATACATAGAGATGATGATGATGACGATGATGATGATAGACACATAGATATATACATAGATGATACATAAATAGAGACAGAGAGGCAGACAGAGAGGTAATAGAGAGAGAG